>NC_000002.12:26146119-26298869 GCF_000001405.40 Homo sapiens
AAAATTAATAACAATCTACAGAAAAAAATAGCCGGGCATGGTTGCACACACCTATAATCCCAGCCACTCAGGAAACTGAGGTAGGAGAATTGCTTGAACCCAGGAGGTGGAGGTTGCAGTGAGCTGAGATTGTGCCACTGCACTCCAGCCTGGCAACAGAGCAACAACGTCTCAAAAAATAATAATAATAAAAATAAATAAAATAAATAAAAATAACAATCCACATACCTGACACCCAGATTGAGTCAGATATTCAGTTCTTCATGTTGACATAAAAGAGACAGTAAAACAACTAACAAACATAAAAAGGAGACTTCAGGGGAAAAAAGGTAAGGAAAACCAAAGAAAAACCCCAAACTCACTTTAAGCAATATTTTTGAATGACATGGGATCCATAAATTAAGAATAGGATGCTATAAAAAAGAACAAATAATGAAAAAATGATCTCTAAAATAAAAACTATCCACTGAAATAAAATGATTCAAGAGAAGAATAGGCCAGGCACAGTGGCTCCTGCCTGTAATCCCAGCACTTTGGGAGGCCCAGGCAGGCAGATCACTTGAGGACAGGAGTTTGAGACCAGCCTGGCCAACATAGTGAAACCCCGTCTCTACTAAAAATACAAAAATTAGCTGGATGTCGTAGCACATATTTATAGTCCCAGCTACTCGGGAGGCTACTCTGGAGGCTGAGGCAGAAGAATCACTTGAATCCAGGAGGCGGAGGTTGCAGTGAGCTGAGATCAAGCCACTGCACTCCAGCCTGGGCAACAGAGCAAGACTCTGTCTCATTAAAAAAAAAAAAAAAAAAAAAAGTGGGGGAAATAAATTTCTGTTCTTTATAAATTAGCCAGTCTATAGTATTCTGTTATAGCAGCACAAAACAGACTAAGACATAAAGTAATTATCAGAGAGAAAATACAAAAATAGAAAAGGAACTTACTTGTCAAATGTAAAGGCAAAATAAATGACATATTCAGATATGCAAACAGGTAAATGTTTTTTTCCCTTGCTGTCCTTCTCAGGAATCTACTCTAGGAAAAGGAAAGAGTACACCAAGGAAAAGAAAAGCCGGAGACTCAGAAAACAGGGACTCAAGTGTGGGCCAGTCCTGGAGGGGCTATGTAGTTGGACTTGGAAGCAACCTACCCAGAGGGGAGCAGGAAGACAGTCTCCAGGAAAACCAGTGGAAGAAATAATATTGATAGGTGGGTGATATAGCTGAGGGACAGTGCAAAATCATGAGGATAAAAAACAAAACCTTTCTCTCTGCTGGGAGCAGCTCTCTGAGAGCTAGGATAAAATCTGTCCTGCCTCACACAGGATCCCCAGTGCCTGACTATTCCTGGCACATAGTAGGTGCCCAAGAAATATTGTTAAATGAGGCCAGGCATAGTGGCTCACACCTGTAATTCCAGCCCTTTTGGAGGCCAAAGCAGAAGGATCTCTTGAGCCCCTGAGTTTGAGACCAGCCTAGGCAACATAGGGAGAGTCCATCTTTACAAAAAATAAAAAATTAGCTGGGTGTGGTGCTATGTGCCTGTGGTCCTAACTTGAGGTGCTAAGGTGGGAGGATCACTTAAGTCTGGAGGTCGAGACTGCAGTGAGCCATGATCACACAAGTGCACTCCAGCCTGAGCAACAGAGTGCAGACCCTATCTCAAAATATATATGTGTGTGTGTGTGTGTGTGTGTGTGTATATATATATATATATATGCATAGTTAGATGAGTGAATGAATGAATGCATGAAGGAGAGCAGATCAAGCTTCCCATTTGTGCTTTAAGCCGGGTGCTAAAGTAGACCAGCTAACCTGAGCACCTGAGCGCCCCTCCTCCACTACAGATACCTTAGAAATACAACATCAGTATAATTTTGAATGCATAATCAAGTCCTCAAGAAAGCAAAGATAATCTGAAGGAGAAACAGGTCACTTACAAATCATTTTTGTTTTGTTTTTATTGTTGACATATAAAAAACCATACATATATGTACACATCTTTATGTATACAGACCCTAATAGATCTGCCTTGCCCACAGGCTTTTTTTTTTTTTGAGACGGAGTCTCACTCTGACGCCTCGGCTGGAATGCAGTGGCGTGATCTCAGCTCATTTCAACCTCCACCTCCCAGGTTCAAGGGATTCTCCTGCCTCAGCCTCCTGAGTAGCTGGGATTACAGGCACATACCACCATGTCCGGCTAATTTTTGTATTTTTTGGTAGAGATGGGGTTTCACCATGTTGGCCAGGCTGGTCTCAAACTCCTGAGCTCAGGTGATCCGCCTGCCTCGGCTTCCCAAAGTGCTGGGATTACAGACACCTCTTTGTGGTCTCTGCTCAAATGTCCCCTTGTCATTGAGACCTTCCCTGGCCACATTGCATAGGACAGGAACAACACCTCTCCCAGTCCTGAATTCGCTATCCTTTTCACTTGGCTTTCTTTTTTCCTCCACAGCTCTTTCCACCACCTGACATATTAACATTTACTGTTCATTTGTTTATTGCCTGTCTCTGCTAGGATAGAAGCTCCAAGTGGGCAGGGGCTCTTTCTGTCTTATTCATGGCTCTGTCTTCAGCACCTAGAACAGCACCCACTGCATGAACGATGCTATTTGTTGAATGAATAAACCTGATCTCTTGTGCCCCTACTTCCTACTGGGAAATCTACAGTGAAGAGAGGAGAATAAAACTAACATTTTTGCAGCATTTTCTTAGGGTCATGGAGGGATTCCTAGTGTCCCAAAGGTGCTTGTCTGAGTCCTGAAAGTGAAGGGGCTATTTGTAGTAAACAAACAAACAAACAAACAAAAAACCCACTTTAGGACATAATATAGGAAGTGGGCTGGGCTCAGTGGCTGGTGCCTGTAATTCAGCACGTTGGGAGGCTGAAGTGGGAGGATCACTTGAGCCCAGGAATTCGAGACCAGCTGAGGCAACAGTGAAGTCCCATTTCTACAAAAAATTAAAAAATTGGAGGGGTGGGCATGCATGGGATAAAGGGAAGTGAAGCCAGGGCTTGGGGCACTTTTTCTGCCCATGAAGTCTCAGATTCATTCTTAAGGAACTGAGAACTTAATCTTCCAAAATGTCAAAAAGACCATCTTATGCCCCAACTCCCACCCCAGCTCCTGCAACACAAATGTCCAGTACACCAGGGTTTGTGGGATACAATCCTTACAGTCATCTCACCTACAACAACTACAGGCTGGGAGGCAACCCAGGCACCAATAGCCGGGTCCCAGCGTCCTTTGGTATTATGATTCCAAAACCCCCAAAGCCACCAGATAAGCCGCTGATGTGCTACATGAGGTACAGCAGAAAGGTCTGGGACCAAGTAAAGGCTTCCAACCCTGACCTAAAGTTGTGGGAGATTGGCAAGCTTATTGATGGCATGTGGGGAGATCTCACTGATGAAGAGAAACAAGAATAAACAAATACAAAGTAGAAAAGATAGAGTACAATGAATCTATGAAGACCTCTAATTCCACACGAACCTTGCTTACATAAATGCTGCAAAAAGTCATGCAGAAGCTGCTTTAGAGGAAGAAAGTGGACAGAGGCAGTCTCGCATGAAGAGAGGAGAACCTGACGTGAGCATTCAGCTTGCTGAAGATCCAGATGATTGTGACGATGGCTTTTCATTTCTTTTTTTTTTTTTTTTTTGAGACAGAGTCTCGCTCTGTCGCTCAGGCTGGAGTGCAGTGGCGTGATCTCAGCTCACTGCAACCTCCGCCTCCTGGGTTCAAGCGATTCTACTGCCTCAGCCTCCCCAGTAGCTGAGATTACAGGCACGCACCACCACGCCTGGCTAATTTTTTTTTAATCTTTAGTAGAGATGGGGTTTCACGATGTTGGCCAGGCTGATCCTGACCTTGTGATCCACCTGCCTCGGCCTCCCAGAGCGCTGGAATTATGGGCGTGAGCCACCGTGCTGGGCTGACAATGGCTTTTCAATGGAGCATACGGACACCGCCCGTTTCCAGAGAAATCATGGCCGCATCAGTGAAATCCTTAGTGACAGTGTGGTGCCAGACATTCCGTCCGCTGTCACAACAGCTAGCATGCAGGTCCTCAAGCGACAGGTCCAGTCCTTAATGGTTCATCAGCGAAAACTAGAAGCTGAACTTCTTCAAATAGAGGAACGGCATCAGAAGAAGAAGAGGAAATTCCTGGAAAGCACGGCTTCATTTAACAGTGAACTTAAAAGGTTGTGCGGTCTGAAGGTAGAACTGGATATGGAGAAAACTGTAGCTGAGATTGCACAGGCAGAGAAACAGGGCCGCAAAAGGCAGGAGGAAAGGGAGGAGGCGGCAGTGCAAGCTGAGCCAGTCAGAGCAGCCTCGTTCCTGAGGAAGAGCAAGCGGGCAACAAAGGCGAGGAAAAGAAAGACGACACGAACCTTCCAAGGGAGACAGAGGAGACACACTCTGAAGAAGAGCCAACGGAACAGTGAAGAAGGCATGTCTACTCCTGAGGACAAGGAGAGTGGGTAGGAGGGGTCGACTGTATGGCAGAGAAGGAACCAGTGATAGTAACACTGGCTTGGAGAGTAACAGCCAACAGTGGAAGAGCCACCAACAGATCCCATACCAAGAGACGAGAAAAAAGAATAAATGTGGCCTTGTTTTATGTGTTCTAAATACTTTTTTTGTTTGTTTGTTTGTTTTTGTTTTTTTGGAGACAGAGTCTTGCTCTGTCACCCAGGCTGGAGTGCAATGGCCCGATCTTGGCTCACTGCAACACCCACCTCCCAGGTTCAAGCTAGTCTCCTGGCTTAGCCTCCGGAGTAGCTGGAATTACAGGTGCCAGCCACCACACCTGGCTCACTTCTGTATTTTTAGTAGAGATGGTGTTTCACCATGTTGGCCAGGCTGGTCTTGAACTCCTGACCTCAAGTGATCCTCACCCACCTTGACCTCCCAAAGTGCTGGAATTACAGGCATGAGCTACTACGCCTGGCCTTAAATACTTTTCTATTTTTATTTTTATGTTATTATCTTATTTTATAATTTTATTTTTATTTTTGAGACGGAGTCTCACTCTGTCACCCAGGCTGGAGTGCAGTGGCCAGATCTTGGCTCACTGCAACCTCTGCCTCCTGGGTTCAAGTGAATACATACTTTTTTTTAATGAAAAAATGTTTTTTGGTTTAAAAATAAAAAAAACTGGCCAGGTGCGGTGGCTCACGCCTGTAATCCCAGCACTTTGGGAGGCTGAGGCAGGTGGATTACTTGAGGTCAGGAGTTTGAGACCAGCATGGCCAACATGGTGAAACCCTATCTCCACAAAAAATACAACAATTAGCAGGGCATGGTGGTATGCACTTGTAATCCCAGCTACTCGGGAGGGTGAGGCAGGAGAATCACTTGAACCGGGGAGGCAGAGGTTGCAATGAGCCGAGATTGCACCACTGCAGTCCAGCCTGGGCGACAGAGTGAGACTCTACCTCAAAAAAAAAAAAAAAATTAAAGAATTAGCCGGGCATTGTGGTGCTTGCCTGTAGTCCCAGCTACTTGGGAGGTTGAAATAGAAGGGTCACTTGATCCCAGGAGTTTGAAGCCGCAGTAACCTATGATCACACCACTGCACTCCAGCCTGGGCGACAGAGTGAGACCTTGTTTCAAAAAAAAAAAAAAAAAAGTCCATGTACTATATTATCACTGGATATGGAACTTTACCCTGAACCATACAAAAGTATATTATATACAACTGATTAGAGTTTATAATTTCTTTTTTCAGAACTAAATGTTTTATCAACATTTAATTTCCCATAATATTATAGTATTAAATGTTCACATAAAGAAAAACCAGAAGAGACTATGGACATTTATAAAACAGGGTTACACTAAACAGGTCCCAATAAGTTTTAAAAGATTAAAATCATAAAAAGTATCTTCTATGACCACAATAGAAAGTAGAAATCAATAGCAGAAAGAAAACTGGAAAATTTACAAGTATGTGGAAATTACATAACATATGTGGAAATAACTAATTAGTCAAAGAAGAAATCACAGGTGAAATTAGAAAATTCCTTGAGATAAATAAAAACTAAAATGCAACATACTAAAACTTATGGGATACAGGAAAAGCAGTGCAAACAGGGAAATCTATAGTTGTAAATGCCTATATTTAAAAATGAAGAAAGATCTCAAATCAGCAATTTAATTTTACACCTCAATGAACTAGAAAAAGAACAAATTAAACCCAAAGTTAACAGAAGGAGAGAAATGGTAAAGATTAGAGTGGAAATAAACAAAATAGAGTGTAGGGAGACAATAGAAAGAAAATCAACAAAACTAAGAGTTGGTTTTTTGAAAATAACAGCAAAAGACAAACCCTTAGCTAGATTAAGAAAAAAAAAAGACTGAAATAATAACTAAAATTAGAAATGAAAGGAGACTTCATAAATGATGCCACAGAAATGGAAAGGATTAAAGAGACTATGATGAATAATTATATGTCAACAAACTGGAAAACTTAGAAGAAATGGATAAATTCCTAGAAACATATAAGCAGCATGACTAAATAATGAAAAAATAGAAATCCAAACAGACCTCTAAGTAGTAAAGACATTGAATTAGTGATCAAAAGCCTCCCAAAAAAGAAAAGCCCTGGACTGGATGGCCTCACTGGAGAATTCTACAAAACATTTAAAGTAGAATTAACAATTCTCAAACTCTGCCAAAAAAAATTAAAGAAAAAGGAACATTTTCAGTCTCATTTTATTAGGCCAGCATTATCCTGATACCAAAGGCAGACAAGGATCCTATGAGAAAACTACAGACCAATATCCTCGATGAATATTGATGCAAAAATCTTCAACAAAATCTTAGCAAACTGAATTCAACAGCACACAAAAAGTTCATACATCATGACCAAGTGGGATTTAGCCCTGGGATGCAAGGATGGTTCAGCACACAAAAATCAATAAATGTAATACACAGAATGAAGGACAACAATCACATGATCATCATAATTGTTGCAGAAAAAGCACTTGACAAAATTCAACACCCTTTCATGATAAAAAAACACCCTACAAACTAGGATTATAAAGAAATTACTGGCTGGGTGCGGTGGCTCATGCCTGTAATCCCAGCACTTTGGAAGGCTGAGGTGGGTGGATCACCTGAGGTCAGGAGTTTGAGACCAGCCTGACCAACATGGTGAAACTCCATCTCTACTAAATACAAAAAATTAGCCGGGCATGGTGGTACATGCCTGTAATCCCAGCTACTCAGGAGGCTGAGGTAGGAGAATCACTTGAACCTGGGAGGCGGAGGTTGCAGTGAGCCGAGATTGTGCCATTGCATTCCAGCCTGGGCAACAGAGTAAGACTCTGTATCAAAAAAAAAAAAAAAAAAAAGAAGTTTTCTCAACACATTAAAGGTCATATACGAAAAGCCCACAGCTAACAGCATACTCAAAGGTAAAAAAAAAAAAAATGAAAATGGAAAAGCTTTCCTTTTCTTAAAGGAAAATTTAAGATCTGGAATAAGGCAAAGATGCCCACTTTGGCTTCTTCTATTCAACATAGTACTGGAAGTCCTAGCCAGAGCAATTAGACAAGAAAAGAAATAAAAGGCATCCAAATTAGAAAGGAAGAAGTAAAATTATCTTTATTCACAGATGACATGCTCTTAAATGTGGAAAACCCTAAAGATTCCACAAAAGATTCTAACAAAATAACTGTTAGAGCTAACGTACAAATTCAGTAAAGTTGCAGGATACAAAATAAACACTTGTATACAAAATAGTCATTTGTATTTCTATATGCTAACAATGAATAATCTGAATAGGAAATTAAGAAAACAAAACAATTTACAATAGCATCAAAAATAATAAAATACTTAGGAATAAACTTAACCAAGGAGGTGAAAGACTTGTAACTGAATACTACAAAGCATTGCTGAAAGAAATTTAAAAAGACAAATAAATGGAAAGACATCCCATATTCATGGGTTAGAAGACTTAATATTGTTAAACTGTCCATACTACTCAAAGTACTCTACAAATTCAATGCAACCCCTCTCAAAAATCCCCATGGCATTTTTTTGATAAATAGAAAAAAAAATTAAAATTCATGAGTAATATCAAAGGACCCAGAACAGCCAAAAGAATTACAAAGTTGGAGGATTTACACCTACTTCCTGATTTTAAAACTTACTACAAAGCTACAGTAATCAAAATAGTATGGTATTGGCATAAAGACAGACATATAGACCAATGGAACAGAATAGAGAGCCCAGAAATAAAGCCTCATGTTATATGGTCAAAGAATCTTTGACAAGGGTGCCAAAGCTACACAATGAGGAAAGATTAGCCTCTTCAATAAATGGTGCTGGGAAAATTGGATATCCACATGCAAAAGAATGATGAATCCTTATCGTATACTATATACAAAAATTAATCCAGAATAAAGGCCTAAATATAGACCTAAAATTATAAAACTCCTAGAAGAAAACATAGGGGAAAAATCTTCGTGACATTGGACTTGGCAATGCTTTCTTGGATATGACACCAAAAGCACAGATAACAAAAGCAAAATAGGACAAATTGAACTACATCAAACTTAAAAACTTTCACACAGCAAACAATCAAAAGAGTGAAAAAGCAACCTACAGAATGGGAGGAAAATATTTGTAAACCATATATCAGATAAGGGAATAATATCCAGAATATATAAAGAGCTCCTGTAACTCAATAGTACAAAACTAAATAATCTTATTTTAAATTGGGCAACAGACTTGAATAGACATTTCTCCACAGAAAACATACAGATGGTCAACAAACACAAGAAAAGATGCTCAACATCACTAATCATCAGGGAAATGCAAATCAGAACCACAATGAGATACCACCTCATCCATTAAGAGGCTCACTATAAAAAAGGAAAAAAAAAACAGAAAATAATAAGTGTTGGAGAGCATGTGGAGTAATAGGAATCCTTGCGCGTTGTTTGTGGGATTCTAAATGGTGCATTTGCTATGGAAAACAGTACAGCGGTTTCTCAAAAAATTAAAAATAGAATTACCATATGATCCAGCAATCCAAATTCTGGATATATAGCCAAAAGGATTGTAAACAGCAGATATTTGCACATCTATGTTCACTGCAACATTATTCACAATAGCTGATATGTGGAAACAACCTAAATGTCTATCAATGAAGGAATGGATTTAAAAAATGTGTTATGTACATTACAATGGAATATTATTCAGCCTCAAAATAGAAAGAAATCCTGTCACATGCTACCACATGGATGACATACCTTGAGGACAGTATGCTAGATGAAATAAGCCAATCACAAAAAGACAAATAGCCAGGCGTGGTGGCTTATACCTGTAATCCCTGCACTTTGGGAGGCTGAGGTGGGCAGATCACCTGAGGTCAGGAGTTCAAGACTAGCCTGGCCAACATGGTGAAACCCCGTCTCTACTAAAAATACAAAATTGGTTGGGTGTGGTGGCACATGCCTGTAATCCCAGTTACTTGGGAGGCTGAGACAGGAGAATTGCTTGAACCTGGGAGGAGGAGGTTTTGGTGAGCCAAGATCGCACCATTGCACTCCAGCCTGGGCAACAAGAGTCAAACTCCGTCTCAAAAAAAAAAAAAAAAAAAAAAAAAGACAAATATTGCATGATTCCACTTATATGAGGCATCTAATGTAATGAAAGTCAAAATCAAAAGCAGAATGGTGGCCAGGGGCTGGGGGGAAGGGAATGGGGAGTTGTTCATGGGCACAGAGTTTCAGTCATACAAGATGGAAAAGTTCTAGATATCTATTGTACAACAATATGCATTTAATTAACAATACTGTACTGTACACTTAAAAATTAAGAGGGTAGGCTGGGCACAGTGGCTCATGCCTATAATCCCAGCACTTTGGGAGGCTGAGGTGGGAGGATTGCTTGAGCCAGGAGTTAGAGATCAGCCTGGGCAACACAGTGAGACTCTGTCTCTACAAAAGAAAAAAAGAAAGAAAGAAAAAGAAAAAGAAAAGATTAGCTAGGTGTGGTGGCACATGCCTGTACGGGAGGCTAAGGCAGGAGGATTGCTTGACCCCAGGAGGCCGAGGCTTCAGTGAGCCATGATCACGCCACTGTACTCCAACCTGGGTGACAGAGCAAGACCCTGTCCCCACTAAAATAAAATTTAAATACATAAATAAATTATCAGGTTAAAATTTTGTACTTTTTACCATATTTTTTTATTTTATTATTTATTTATTTATTTGAGACAGAGTTTGCTCTGTTGCCCAGGCTGGAGTGCAGTGGCACGATCTCGGCTCACTGCAATCTCTGCCTCCTGAGTTCAAGGGATTCTCCTGCCTCAGCCTCCCAAGTATCTGGGATTACAGGTGCCTGCCACCATGCCTGGCTAATTTTTGCATTTTTAGTAGAGACAGGGTTTTGCTGTGTTGCCCAGGCTGGTCTGGAAGTCCTGAGCTCAAGTGATCTGCCCACCTTGGCCTCCCAAAGTGCTGGGATTGCAAGCGTGAGCCACTGCAATCGGCCCACAATTTTTAAAAATTGACAAAGAAAAAATTTTAAAAATTTAAAAAAGACAAAGAACAAAACACAAGGCAAAAGTTTTAAATAGACATTTCTAAGGAAGATAGACAAAGGGCCAAAAAGCACATGAAAATATGTTCTATATCATTGGTCATTAAGGAAATGCAAATCAAAATTACAGTGAGAGACCACTTCACTCCCATTAGGACGGCTATAACAAAGCCAAACCAACAAACAGGCAAACTGTAAATTAGAAACCAGAAGACAGGCTGGGCGCGGTGGCTCACGCCTGTAATCCCAGCACTTTGGGAGGCCAAGGCGGGCGGATCACGAGGTCAGGAGATCGAGACCATCCTGGCTAACACGGTGAAACCCCGTCTCTACTAAAAATACAAAAAAATTAGCCAGGTGTGGTGGCGGGCGCCTGTAGTCCCAGCTACTCGGGAGGCTGAGGCAGGAGAATGGTGTGAACCCGGGAGGCAGAGCTTGCAGCAAGCCAAGATCGCACACTGCACTCCAGCCTGGGGAACAGAGCAAGACTTGGTCTAACAACAACAACAAAAAAACGGAAGACAACAAGTGTTGATGGAGATACGGAGAAACTGGAACCCTCATATGTTGCTGATGGGAATGTGAAATTGTTCAACTACTACTGTGGAAAACAGTTTGATGATTCCTCAGTAAGTCTAACATAGAATTACCAAACAACCCAGCAGTTCCACTCCTAGGTATTTACCCAGAAGAACTGAAAACAGGTATTTAAACAAAAACTTGTACAAGAATGTTCTTACCAGCACTATTCACAATAGTCAAAAGGTAGAACAACTCAACTGTCCGTCAACTGCTGAAAGGATAACACATATGGTATATCCATACTTTGGAATATTATTCAGTCATAAAAAGTAACATAGTATTGATACACACTACATTATAGATGAACATGGAAAACATTATGGTAAATGAGTGAAGCCAGACACAAAAGGCCACTTGTTATATGATTCCATCATATGAAATAGCCAGAAGAGGTACATCTATAGAGACAGGAAACAAATCAGTGGTTGCGAGGGCTGAGGATTGAAATGGGGAGTGACTGCTTAATGGGCGCGGAATTTCCTTTTAGGTGATGAAAATGTCCTGGAACTAGTGAGGATGATTGCACAACATTGCAAATGTACTAAATGCCACTGAATTGTCCTTTTTTTTTTTTTTTTTTTTTTTTCAGAGATAGGGTCTCTCCCTTTCGCCCAGGCTGGAGTGAAGTGGCTTGATCATAGCTCACTGTAACTTCGAACTTTTGGGCTCAAGTGATCCTCCTGCCTCAGCCTCCCTAGTAGCTGGGACTACAGGTATGTACCACCACACCTGGCTAATTTTTCTATTTTTTGTAGAGACAAGGTCTTGCTATATTGCCAAGCCTGGTCTCAAACTCCTGGCCTCAAGCAATCTTCCTGTCTCAGCCTCCTGTCTCAAAGTGTTAAAATTACAGGCATGAGCCACTGTGCTTAGCCTAAATTTTAAATTCTTAAATGATGAAGTTTAAATTTGTTGTGAATGTAAATTTATGTGAATGTTACCTCGATTTTAAAAAATAGTGTTACATAATTTAATCAATGGTTCATTAGTAAATTAAACAGTTTCGTTACTGATGGAAGATATCTGAGTTACCTGGAGTTACCCACGGTGAATCTGTACGGATCTGCGGCAACCTTAATTCTTGCCTCCTTGGAAGAAAGAATTCAACCGAGGGGCATAGGGCAGAAGAGACAGAGGCATGTTTCAGAGCAGGAGTGGAAGTTTATTAAAAAGCTTTAGAACAGTAAGGAAAGGAAGGAAAGGGAAAAAAAAGAAGGAAAATACAACTTGGAAGAGGGAAGTGGGATGACCTGAGAAACCAGTGTGCAGCTTGACCTCTGGACTTGGGGCTTTATATATTGGCATACTTCCGGGATCTTGCATTATAACTTCTCCCCATTCCTGAGATCTTACTGGGAAGCTGCTGATCAGTTTCAGGTATTTTCTATCTATTAGGAAACTGTCCTTCCCTGGCACCAGCTGTGACGAATTATTACTTTAGAGAAACAGGTGGCCGGGCACAGTGGCTCATGCCTGTAATCCCAGCACTTTGGGAGGCCGAGAAGGGCGGATCACCTGAGGCCAGGAGTTCAAGACCAGCCTGGCCAACATAGTGACACCTCCCCCCACCATCTCTACTAAAAATGCAAAAATTAGTCAGGCTTGGTGGCGCGGGCCTGTAGTCCCAGCTACTTGGGAGACTGAGGCAGGAGAGTCGCTTGAACCCAGGAGGCAGAGGTTGCAGTGAGCCGAGATCATGCCACTGCCCTCCAGCCTGGGTGACAGAGCAAGACCCTGTCTCAAAAAAAAAAAAAAAAAAAGAGAAACAGTTAACAACCACCTGACCATCACCTGACAGGTCTCCCAACACGCCTGGTCTATGTGTTGGTGGGGAGCACTCTCCGGCGCTGCTCATACCTGACTAGCTACCTACTGTAACAATTTGACTTAATAAGATTCCACTGACTGGCCGGGTGCAGTGACTCCTGCCTATAATCCCAACTCTTGGGGAGGCCAAAGTGGGTGGATCACTTGAAGTCAGCAGTTCGAAACAAGTCTGGCCAACATGGTGAAACCCTGTCTCTACTAAAAATACAAAAATTAGCCGGGCGTGGTGGCACGAGTCTGTAATCCCAGCTACTTGGGAGGCTGAGGCAGGAGAATCGCTTGAACTTGGGAGGTGAAGGTTGCAGTGAGCCGAGATTGTGCCACTGCACTCCAGCCTGGGGGACAGAGCAAGACTTTGACTCAAAAAAAATAAAAATAAAAATAAAAATAAAAAATAAAAAAAAGAAAAAGAAGAAAAGATTCCACTGACAATACAAATAAATTGAAATCTGTAATTTGATTAAAAAGTAGAGATTCTCATGTCATGTAATAGTGATTTCACAGTGAGTTTTGAGTTTACACTGGGTTTACTAGTGAGGTCAGGACCATAACATGAAAGATAATCCAATTGACCATGAAGGCGTTCCCATCAGTTGTTCAGTCACTCTGTAGGTGACTGGGTGGGGGCTTTCCCACAACTTCTGGAAACTCCTTGGTGGGCGGATCACCTGAGGCCAGGGGTTCAAGACCAGCCTGGCCAACATGGTGAAACCCCATCTCTACTAAAAATAATTTTAAAGAAAGTGAGCCAGGCGTGGTGGTGCATGACTGTAATCCCAGCCACTCGGGAGGCTGAGGCAGGAGAATCGCTTGAACCCAGGAGGCGAAGGCTGCAGTGAGCTGAGATCGCGCCACTGCACTCCAGCCTAGGTGACAAAGCCAGTGAGACTGTCTCAAAAAAAAAAAAAGTACCAATTATGCTATGGTTTTGTGCTGGGAACAACTCTATTTCCCCAGGAACTAGGGGATCTCGCTCCTTTTCCTGTTCTGATTCCAGTGGAATGCCAGTGTGTCAACTCCTAGGATTTGCTGCCATCTTCAAGACATCAGGTCTTAAATCTGGAGAAGGAAGCTACACCACGCTTTTGGAGCCATGCATATTATCCAGGTCTATCTATTGCTCAGATTGGCAGAGGAGTGCTTTTGGTGTTTATCTTAAAGTAAGTTGTCACCCAACCCAAGGTCACCTAGATTTTCTCTTGTGTTATTCTCTAGGAGTGCTATTATTTTATATTTTACATTTAGGTCTATGATCCATTTTGAAATAATTCTTGTGAAGGATGTAAGGTCTGTGTCTAGATTAGTTTTTTTGTTATATGTATGTCCAATTGTTCTGGAACCATTTGTTGAAAAAGACTGTGCTTTTTCCATTGAATTGCCTCTCCTCCTTTGTCAGAGATCAGTTGACTATATTTGTGTGGATCTATTTCCGAGGTCTCTATTCTACTCCATTGATGTATTTGTCTTATTGCACAGATTGGAATTTCAGGGGAATTGTTGGACAATCTGTTTCAGGCGACAAAGGCAAAGCTGTTGGATCCCCAGCTAATTATTGACTTGGCTCACAGAAAAGATGTTGGATTATTTCAACCGGTTTTATTTTTTTGTTTTTTTTGTTTTTTTTTTTTTTGTGAGACAGTCTCGCTCTGTTGCCCAGGCTGGAGTGCAGTGGCGCGATCTCGGCTCATTGCAAGCTCCGCCTCCCGGGTTCACACCATTCTCCTACCTCAGCCTCCCAAGTAGCTGGAACTATAGGCGCCCGCCACCACGCCCAGCTAATTTTTTGTATTTTTAGTAGAGACGGGGTTTCACTGTGTTAGCCAGGATGGTCTCGATCTCCTGACCTTGGGATCCGCCTGCCTCGGCCTCCCAAAGTGCTGGGATTACAGGTGTGAGCCACCTCGCCCGGCCTATTTCTACAGTTTTACTCCATCATTTGCAGTCACTTAAGCCCAGATGACACCAAGTCCATCTGAGATGTTCAGGCAAGTGTGATTCTGAAATGGTGTGAAAGACCACTGACACAAAACCTCTCTTTTGGGAAACAGTTTGAATAATTTTTTTTTTTTTGAGACAGAGTCTCGCTCTGTTGCCCAGGCTGGAGTGCAGTGGCATGATCTCGGCCCACTGTAACCTCTGCTTCCTGGGTTCAAGCGATTCTCCTGCCTCAGCCTCCCGAGTAGCTGGGATTACAGGCACCCACCACCATGTCTGGCTAATTTTGCATTTTTAGTAGAGATGGGGTTTCGCCATGTTGGTCAGACCACCTCAGCCTCCCAAAGTGCTGGGATTACAGGCGTGAGCCACCATGCCCAACCCGAATAAAGTAATTTTTAAAGGATTCTGAAACTTGCCATGTTTTGAAAGTAAAGAACACCATTTAAAAAGCAAGAGATGGGCTGGGTGCAGTGGCACATGCCTGTAATCCCAGCACTTTGGGAGGCCAAGGCGGGTGGATCACTTGAGGTCAGGAGTTCGAGACCTGTCTGGCCAACATGGTGAAACCCCATCTCTACTAAATACAAACATTAGCTGGGCGTGGTGGTGCACGCCTGTAATCCCAGCTACCTGGGGGCTAAGGCATGAGAATTGCTTGAACCTGGGAGGCAAAGGTTGCAGTGAGCCAAGATCGCTCCAGCTGGGGCGACAGAGTAAGACTCTGTCTCAAAAAAATAAAATAAATAAATAAATAGGAAGAGATGAAAAGGATAATAAAGCTTCAGTTTAAAAATGTCTTAGAATGAAGCATGCATTTTTGTTCTTGCGCCCAGCTTCTTCTCGCCTGGCACCTTAGCTTCCTGGTATTGGAAGAAGGGACCGTCCTCTTCCTTGTCCCGGCCCCCTAAATCCTGCCATTGAAAGGGTTGAATGGTGGGGACTGGAGGTGTGCTCAGCAGCAGCAGGGGTCCCCAGATAATCGATGCCAGAAGTAGCAGTTGCTAGAGAAGCATTCTGCCCACTTCACTATGGCGGCACTTCCTCCAGACTCCTGGCAGCCACCCAGTGTTTACTTGGAGACCAGCATGGGAATAATTGTACCGGAGCTGTATCGGAAGCATGCTCCAAAGACCTGTAAGAACTGCTGAGATGACTCGTCGAGGTTACTACAGTGGCACAAAATTCCACAGAATCATCGAGGATTTCATGATCCAAAAAGGTGACCCAACAGGGACAGGTTGAGGTGGTGCATTTATCTATGGCAAACAGTTTGAAGATGAGCTGCATCCAGACTTGAAATTCACGGGGCCTGGAATTCTCGCAATGGCCAATGCAGGGCCAGACACCAATGGCAGCCAGTTCTTTGTGACCCTCGCACCCACCCAGTGGATCGACAGCAAACACACCATTTTTGGCCAAGTGTGCCAGGGGATAGGAATGGTGAATCGAGTAGGAATGGTAGAAACAAACTCCCAGGACCGCCCCGTGAACGCTGTGAAGATCATTAAGGCATACCCTTCTGGGTAGACTTGCTGCTCTCTTGAGCAGGTCTTCTGAGATGTCCCCAGTGAACCAGCTTCCCAATGACCTAGAATGACATGTAATGCTAAATTTCACTTTGGCCTTGCAAATCACGATGCTTAGGAAGCCTGCATCCTAAGGTGAGTTAGGGATGGAAGTGCATTTTAATAGGATGCTTCTTTTCTCTTCCCCCATTGCCTAGGTTGACAGAGCATTTGCACAGATGCCCCTGTTTATCCATAGGTTACTACTTACTGCACATGACCCATAATGCTCCTTGTGCCTGGCTGCTCTGATATTCTTGGAACAAAATGCAGCAGACGCTGTCATTTCTCAGTGTTTTTGCCTAACCAAACTTCTTCCTGATTTATATTCTGGCCTACACTGCAGTCTTTGATGGCTGACAGTCACAGAATTCAAAACCAAGTAGTGGCAGTGTCTATCAGCCCTCTTAACTTTGTGCACACTATATTTCAGTCTCCTATGTTTGTTCTTCTAGGGGATGTATGCATCTGTCTCTATATTTTCCCTCTCAAAACCAGAACATCTGCCGGGCACGGTGGCTCACGCCTATAATCCCAGCACTTTGGGAGGCCGAGGTGGGCGGATCACCTGGGCTTAGGAGTTAAAGACCAGCCTGGCCAACATGGTATAACCCGGTCTCTACTAAAAATACTAAAATTAGCCAGACATGGTGGTGCATGCCTGTAGTTCGAGCTACTGGGGAGGCTGAGGCCGGAGAATCCCTTGAACCTGGGAGGCGGAGGTTGCAGTGAGCCAAGATTGAGCCACTGCACTCCAACCTGGGCGACAGAGCAAGAATTCGTCTCAAAAAAAGAAAAAGAAAAAAAAAAACCCACAAAAGCCAGAACATCAACCCTGCTGTTTCTGACACCTAGACATCCCACGCAAAGCCACACTGACTTTTTGCCAAATGAAAAACATATCCAAAAATCAAGTTTCTAAGAAGTGGGGAATAATAATGTGTAATAATCAAAAAATGAATTTATTAAAAGGAAGCAGAAGAATTGACCATCTTTGTCCCAGAGAAGAGGGAAATCTGTAGTGAGCACAAGGACAGACTATGAATTCTCCGTAAAATTAGTACTCTCAAAAAGGAGAGGTGTCACTTAAGTTTTCTTAACCTAAGACTTTAGAGAAATTAGATATGAGATTTTTATACATTAAGTTGTTGGACTTTTTTTTATTCTTTCTGGATTTTGGAGGGAGGAGTAGAAGAGGAAGAAAGTTAATATAATACCTATGTAATACATAGAAACTTCTAAAATAAAATGTCATCGATGGTTGAAATTGCAAACAAACAAAAATGTCTTAGTGATTACAGAGCTTAATTAAAATCAGTTTTACAAAACTAAAAATATAGAATGAACCAGGTGCAGGGGTGAGTGCCTGTAGTCTCAGCTCCCTGGGAGGCCGAGGCAGGAGGATTGTTTGAGACCAGGAGTTCAAGGTCAGCCTGGGCAACAAAGTGAACCTCATCTCTAAAAAAATAAAAATTAATTAAATTAAAGTAAATAAAATTTAGAGTAATGAATATAATGAAACATTATAATTTATGACATTTTCCCTTAAGTTTAAAATACTATTTCGAGACAAAGGTTTTATTTCTTTTGGCTAAACATGCATTATTTGCTTAAAAATAATGGACTTGGATAATATTCATGGCTCCAAAAGCATGGTATAACCTCCTTCTCCAGATTTAAGACCTGATGTTTTGAAGGTGGCAGCAAGTCCTAGGAGTTGACATACTGATTCCTTATATAACTGGGACCTATTTCTGTTGCCCATTTCAGGCAACTGCCATGGTATTGTAACTACAAACCCTGCTGCCAACCCGAGGACATCAGCTGACAGCCATCTGAGGACACAGTCACAATTCTGAGTCTGTACAATGTCCAGCCAGAGTTGCTCAGTGGGGTAAATAATTACCTCAATCATATGCCCCATACACTGTCTAATCTTTAATCTTGTAAAAGAGAACCTGGAGGAGAATAGAAAATACAGTTTGAACAAAATGTTGAAACTGTATCCATGGAAATTACTTACTGATTGTGAATGAAATGAAAGACAACTCCAAACAAATCAAAAGGTAGGTTATGTATGTTCGGTGCAAGTAATAAATGCCTACATTTGAAATAAAGATGTAGTGAAAGACTTTCTCTCAGCAAAGAAACTTAGGGTGAATGAGGGCACAGTGGTCACCTCCCTGGGTGACCTCTGAGGTGGCCAGCTGGCTGTGCCCTGCTGTGTAGGACCCGCCATCCCCACAAACTCGCATCTTGACCCGTTTCCCAGGGACTCTGCCCAGTAAGACTTTGCTCCAGTGGGGAACAGCTGGGCTGTGAGGCCCAGTGCTACCATTCTTTCTTTCTTTCTCTCTCTCTCTTTTTTTAATTTTTTGAGACAGGATCTCGCTCTGTTGCCCAGGCTGACAGAGCCTTGACTCACTGCAGCCTCGACCTCCCTGGCTCAAGTGATCCTCCCACCTCAGCCTCCCAAGTAACTGGAACACAAGCTTGCACCACTACACTTAACTAGTATATATATATATTTTTTTAGAGATAGGGTCTCGCTATGTTGCCCAGGCTGGTCTGGAACTCCTGGGCTCAAGCGATCCACCTGCCTCAGCCTCCCAAAGTACTAGGATTATAGGCATGAGCCACTGCACCCAGCTATGAGGACTCTTAATTCCTATTTTACAACGAGAGACAGTGGTGTGCTGGCAAATGTTTTACAACCACACTCCAGAAAAAAAAAAAAAAGAGTCCTGATTCGTAAGATTTGCCAATTTCTGTAGTGTAAATACACCCACCATGGTCAGTTTCAAGCCATCAACATGCTATCCCTGGACACAGAGCTGGGAAGAAATGGATAGTAGCACAACATTATATAGTTTTTCTACTGTGCAGATATGATGGACATAAATAACCCCAAGAGCATAGAAAATAGTAAAATGGGCCTGGCGCAGTAGCCCAGCTGTCATCCCAGCACTTTGGGAGGCTGAGGTGGGAGGACTGCTTGAGCCCAGGAGGTCAAGGCTGCAGTGAGCCATGACCGGGCCACTGCACTCCAGCCTGGGCAACACAGCAAGACTCTGTCTCGAAAAAGAAAAGAAAAGAATAGAATGTAATAAAATAATGAGGAAATGATGAGTCAAATATTTATTATGGTCGTCATATAATTTGCTTGTAACTTTTTATAATTTAATTTAAAATAATGGCTATCTTTAATAATCTACTTGCAAAATTCCTGAAATTTTGACAATTAGCTTTTTTTAAAATTACTATTTATTTATTTATCTATTTTGAGACAGAGTCTCACTCTGTCACCCAGGCTGGACTGCAGTGGTATGGTCTCTGCACTGCAACCTCTGCCTCCCGCGTTCAAGTGATTCTTGTGCCTCAGCCTCCCAAGTAGCTGGGATTACAGGTGGGTGCCACCATACCCAGCTAATTTTTGTATTTTTAGTAGAGACGGGGTTTCGCCATCTTGGCCAGGCTGGTCTTGAACTCCTGGGCTCAAGTGATCCACCCGCCTCGGCTTCCCAAAGTGCTGGGGTTACAGATGTGAGCCACTACGCCCGGCCTGACAATTAGCTTTTGCCACCACTGGGCAAGTAACTTGCACAGTCAATCATCCTTTCAGTCATAGGCCACTTTGCCTCATCTGCCGATGCCTGCAGTTAACCAGGCACCACATTAGTCCTTGTGGGGAATCAATTTGGAATAGATACATATCTATTCTCCTACAAGGATAGACATGGTGTCTGGGGAGGTGTATACAAGTAAATGACTAAAATGTAGTATAATAAGTGTTATGGCAGTGGTGTGACATGCACCACTGATTAATCTCACCTGAGGAGAGATTAATCTGATTTATCTTGGGGAATTAGACTGTTTTATTTGTTTGTTTTATGAGACAGGGTCTCACTCTGTTGCCCAGGCTGGAGTGCAGAGGCACCATCATGGCTCCCTGCAGCCTTGACCTCCTAGGCTCAGGTGATCCTCCCACCTCAGCCTCCCGAGTAGCCGGAACTATAGGCAGGTACCACCACCTGGCTAATTTTTGTAGTTTTTGTAGAGGCAGAGTTTTACCATGTTGCCCAGGCTGGTCTCAAACTCTTGGGCTCAAGTGATCAACCCGCTCAGCCTCCCAAAGTGCTGGGATTTCAGGCGTGAGTCACCATGCCTGGCTAGACAGCTTTTTTTTTTTTTTTTTTTTTTTTTTTTGAGATGGAGTTTCACTCTTGCTGTCCAGGCTGGAGTGCAATGGTGTAATCTCAGCTCACTGGAACCTCTACCTCCCAGGTTCAAGCGATTCTCCTGCCTTAGCCTCCCAAGTAGCTGGGATTATAGGCACCCGCCACCATGCCCAGCTAATTTTTTGTATTTTTAGTAGAGATGGGGTTTCACCATGTTGGCCAGGCTGGTCTCGAACTCCTGACCTCAGGTGATCCACCTGCCTCGGCCTCCCAAAGTGCTGGGATTATAGGCATGAGCCACCATGCCTGGCCCCAGCTAGACAGCTTTAAAGGAAAGCATAACCAATGATCAACAGATCGCTGACATCACAAGAAGAGAAACAACCTGACATTATGTGCATCCTGATCCTGATGGAAGAAACACCATCTCCTATGACATGTTATGTCAAAAAATAAAACTCAATCTGAATTTTAAGTCACTACATTCTATTACCAATGTAAAGAAAACCAGAAGAAAGAGCAACATGTTAAGCTACCCTAATTTAAAATAGTGGCTGTCTTTAATAATCTACTTGCAAAATTCCTGAAATTTTGACAATTAGCTAAGGGATGGAATTAACAAAATGCAGACTGTAGGAAACACTATAAGAGTAATGATCCAGTTTCTTTTTTTTTTTTTTTTGAGATGGAGTCTAGCCCTGTCGCCCAGGCTGGAGTGTAATGGCATGATCTTGGCTCACTGCAACTTTCACATCCCAGGTTCAAGTGATTCTCCTGCCTCAGCTTCCCAAGTAGCTGGGATTACAGGCATGCACCACCATGCCCGGCTAATTTATTTTTGCATTTTTAGTATAGACGGGGTTTCACCATGTTGGTCAGGCTGCTCTTGAACCCCTGACCTCAAGTGATTTACCTGCCTTGTCCTCTCAAAGTGCTGGGATTACAGGCATGAGCCACTATGCCTACACGTGGCTGATTGTTGGGTTTTTAGTTGTGAAATATTACTGTGGTTATAATGTAAAAAAAAAAAAGTTTCTAAGCTGGGCATGGTGGCCCATGCCTGTAGTTCTAGCTACTCAGTAAGCTGAGGTGGGAGGGTCTCAGGTTCCAGCCTAGCCTGGCAAAATAGCAAGACACCATTAAAAAAAAAAAGTTTCTATCTTTAGAGGTAGATATAGAGATATTTAAAGATAAAATACTGGGCTCAGTGGCCCATACCTGTAGTCCCACCCACTTGGGAGGATTGTTTGAGCCCAGGAGTTCAAGACCAGCCTGGGAAGTATAGTAAGACCCTCTTTTAAAAAATACAAAGAAAGGCCAGGTGCGGTGGCTCACGCCTGTAATCCCAGCACTTTGGGAGGCCGAGGCAGGCAGATCACCTGAGGTAGGGGTTCAAGACCAGCCTGGCCAACATGGTGAAACCCTGTCTCTACTAAATAATACAAAAATTAGCCAGGCATGGTGGTGGGCACCTGTAATCCCAGCTACTTGGGAGGCTGAGGCTTGAACCTGGGAGGCAGAGGTCGCAGTGAGCTGAGATTGTGCCATTGTACTCTAGCCAGGGTGACATGGTAAGACTGTCTCAAAAATAAAATAGAAAAACAAAAAGAAAACTAGATTGTAATGATGTTTGCAAGATACGATGAATACTAAAAACACTAAATGGTAAACTTTAGATGGGTGAATTGTATAGTATGTGAATTATATTTCAATAAAGTTGTTTTTAACACTCCAAGATGGGTGACGGAGGGAAGACCCTGTCTCTAAAATGAAAAAAAAAAAAAAAAGAAAACTTTTTTTTTTTTATCCAGTGAGGAAGGGTTGTAAGCAGGTACACAAAAATCAGATCAGCCGTGGGTTGGTAGGTGCTAAAGCTGGAAGATGAGCACACGGGAAGTCACATGCTATTATCTCTAGTTGTGTCTACATTTAGAATGTTCTGAAATAAAAAGTTAAATACAATATTACCTAAATTTCTCATAGGTGCTTTCCTAAATGTTTCCTGGCCTCGCCCAGTTCATGATCCCAGAAAAGGCCATCTGTCCTCTAGATGGGGTGGGGCAGGGTACTTTATAAATAATAACCCTAGCTGCTGTGGGCAGCTTTCCCTGCCTCTACTCCATTGACCTCTATGCTCCGCTCACGGGCAGCCTGGCCAGCCTCTGCCACAGCCTGGCCTCTGGGTCAACACTGGGCCTCTGGTAGGGCTGTGACCCCTCCCTACTTTTTCCTCCCCTCCAGCCAATAGGGCTCTCCTTCTTAAAATTTTTTTTATTTTTGAGACAGTGTCTTGCCCCATCACCCAGGCTGGAGTGCAGTGGCATGATCACAGCTCATTGCAGCCTCAACCTCCTGGGCTCAAGTGATCCTCCTGCCTCCGCCTCCCGAGTAGTTGGGACCACAGGAGCACACCACCATGCCTGGCTAGTTTTTGTATTTTTTGTAGAGACAGAGTTTCACTATGTTGCCGGCCTAGTCTCAAACTCCTGGGCTCAAGTGATCTGCCCGCCTCAGCCTCCCATAGTGGTGGGATACTATGCTGGGCCAGGCTCCACCTTCTACTTGTCACTGCCAGCGCTGTCAGAGTGGAGCCCACTGCAGAGGAGCTGGGATCCCCTTGGCTGGGCTCTTTCTTCTGTTCCTCCTCCCTCTCTTTCCCCCAGCTGACTCTCCTGGAGCGGGAAGCACAGGCCCAGCCACACACAGCACCTAGGCCCCAGATTCTCCCACGGCCACACCAAGCCACACAGCCTGGCCTCTCTGCCCAGCATCTTCCTCCCTCTTGGTGCCCTCTTGGCTCTCCTTCCTGCAATCTCAGTCCAAGGAAAGATCTAAACATTTCTGCCTCCAAGAGAAGCTGAGTTCCTTCCTGCAGGACTCCTGAGCCTCAGCAAATCAAGTGATGTATGTGTCTGGACACTTGTGTCAGGTCCCTGGAGACTTGACAACAGTTAAGAAGCCCTGGAAAGGCTCTGGAATATTCTGCAACAGTGAGGAGGTGGGTCCATTTAGTTAGGTGAATCTGCCTGGTGTCTCACAGCGGTGTTGCCCCTAACTCAGCCGAAATCCAGGGTTATAGGTTTTGGGTGTGAAATAGGCAGGTTGCCTGGGGGAGAGAAGATCCAAACTGTGAACGAAAGCCTGGCTGGGACTGGAGCTCCTGGGAAGAGGAGGCTGGGGCTCCATGACACCTGGTGGAAGAGGAATTGCCAGCACTTGGTGACTAGTTTGGTATAAAGGTTAGGGAGAAGATTTCCAGGTTGGGAGACCAGGGTAAAGGAGATGTCCTCAGCTGGGATAGAAAATAAAAGGGGACCCGGTTCAAGTGTGATTGTGGAAATGGAAGTGGCTGTGAACGCCTTTTGGGGGCGAAGGGGTAGAGCTGGAAGTTGAGGTCGGGAGCTGAGGAGAGCCGGCCATGCTGAGTAAGAGAAGCCACCGTAGATGTGGCGTCTCTGTCCAGGGCGCAGGGAGAAGGTGACCACGTGGCTCAATGCCAGTTTATACCTGCTGTCTGGAGCCCAGGCTACCTGCACCTGTTGTCCTAGCTGGGTGGGGAGGTGGTTAGTACCGGCTTCCCTCTTAAAAGTCTCCCAGTTAGGATGACACACGGTCACCCTAAAGAGAGACCCTACAGGGTAGGGGAAGAAAAGTGAATCTAAGGCAGCACCCTTCTCATTCACTTGCTTCTTCCGGCCTTTTCGCCCTCCTGTCTCAGACCTTCCATTCCCTTCTTTTCTTTTTTTTTTTTTTTGAGATGGAGTTTCGCTCTGTCACCCAGGCTGGAGTGTAGTGGCACGATCTCGGCTCACTGCAACCTCCGCCTCCCAGGTTCAAGCAATTCTCCTGCCTCAGCTTCCTGAGTAGCTGGGATTACAGATGTACCTGGAGTGGCAGACAAGCACCACCATGCCCGGCTAATTTTTTGCCTGGATAATTTTTGTATTTTTAGTAGAGACAGGGTTTCACCATGTTGGCCAGGCTGGTCTCGAACTCCTGACCTCAAGTGATCCACCTGCCTTGGCCTGCCAAACTGTTGAGATTACAGGTGTGAGCCACCGCGCCTGGCCCATTCCCTTCTTAAGACTCCTATATTTTCACTGTATTTTCTTTTCTTCTCCTGCCAGGCTTCACCTTCCCACTTCCCTGGGAAAGAACCCACCCCACCCCTACAGACTCAGGAGAGCGGAGTCCATCTGGGCTGCCTGAGTCACCGGGGTGAGCAGCTCCTCCCTGGCCAGGGTGAGCGGGCTGGGTTTGGGCCAGGCTGGGGAAGGGCCTCGGTCAAGTTGGTAGGTGGGGGTCCTGCCTTCTGGTCGCAGCGCTGCCTCTTTCTTGCCGTGTGACCTTAGAGCAAAGCATTTCTGCTCTTGGAGTCTCAGTTTTTTCCTCTGCAGCAGTTGAGGATTGAACCACTGATCTAAAACGTCTCTTCTCGCTGAGAAGTGGTGTTCATCTTGTCGGCTGCCATTTCTCATGGGGTTCGAGCCATAAGATGCCAGGTGTCAGTCACCTCAGAAGAGAGGGTTTTGTTTGTATTTGGTGGGGTTCTTCCGGGGGTACCGAGGCTGAGGACTGATGGATCGAGGCGGGTGGATCACTTGAGTTCGGAGTTCGAGACCAGCCTGGCCAACATGGCGAAACCCTGTCTCTACTAAAAATACAAAAATTAGCCAGGTGAAAAATTAGCCGGGCATGGTGGTGCTTGTCTGTAATCCCAGCTACATATGTAATTCCAGCTACTCAGGAAGCTGAGGCAGGAGAATTGCTTGAACCTGCGGGGCGGAGGTTGCAGTGAGCCGAGATCGTGCCACTACACTCCCGTGAGGGAGCAGCCTAGGGACTAAGGCCCGCTGGCTCCGCGAGATCAGCCAGGCCCGCATCATCCCCCAATTACCTGCAGAGGGCGCCGCAGACACAGAGAGGGCGAGGCCGAGGCCGAGGCCATCTAAGCTTCTGGGAAGGGGGTCCCAAAGGGAGGCCCCGAGCTGGAGTCCAGGGGGCTTGGAAGGAAGAGGTGAGGACAGCAGAAAAGGAAACGCAAATTAAAAGAAGGGAACGAAGGCTGGGCGCGGTGGCTTACGCCTGTAAGTCCAGCACTTTGGGAGGCCGAGTCGGGAGGATCGCTTGAGGTCAGGAGTTCAAGACCAGCCTGGCCAACATGGTGAAACGCCGTCTCTACTAAAAATACAAAAAAATTAGCCAGGAGTGGTGGCAGGTGCCTGTCATCCCAGCTACTCCGCAGGCTGAGGTGGGAGGATCGCTTGAGCCCGGGAGGTGGGGGTTGCAGTGAGCCGAGATCGCGCCACTGCACTCCAGGCTGGGTGATAGAGTGAGACCCAGTCTCAAAAAAAGAGAAGGAAAAGAGAGAAGGGATGGTGGCGGTGGGGGAGGAAGGCGGTTCTTGTAATGATCCGAGAGGAGACCGCAGCACCGGTTACGCCCTCGAACCTCGGCCTCCTCATCTGCAGAATGGACGCAGTCCACACCGCGTGCTGTGGAAGGGTTGGAGCGCCGGTTTACATGACACAGGGCTATCGGCTAAGGGGGCGCTGGGAACGTGGAAGGTGCTCTATGGTGGGGCGCTGTAGGGTGCTCTTGGGCAGTAGGGTTGGAGTCAAATCTGGGTTGAAGTCCAACCTAGGTTGAAGTCCTGGCTGCCACCTGACCTCTGCCCCTCAGTTTGCTCATCAGTAAAATGGGGTTAAGGAGGCTGCCTCGCCCAGCTCCACGGAGCCGGAGGTGATGAAGGTCCTGGAAGAGCAGAATTCAGAACCCGAGCTTTGGGCGGCGGAGCAGGACAGGGCGCGGGTGGGCGCGGCCTCCGGGAGGCCAGCACGAGGGGGAGCGGCGGGGCCCGGACACACCCAGCCAGAAGGAGGAGGCCGACCCCGCGCCGACTCCGCAGATGCCGCTCGGGACTTCGTTGTCCCTCCAGGCGCCCGCCCTGGGGTCCTCCATCACCCGCCGTCACCTGGGCGCGGGGAAGCTGGCGGGAGGGGAGGCGGGGCTTGGCGGCAGCGGCGGGTGGGGGCCGGGGAGCGGGGGCAGGGGCGGGCGGACGGAGCGCGGGGCTGGGGACCCGGGGTCCCAGAAGGGGGCGCGGGGACGGGGTCCGAGGAGAGGGGGCCGGGGCGGGGCAGGGCGGACAGGGCTGGGGGCGGAGGTCCGGGGGTGGGTCCGGCGGCGAGTCCGGGTCGGGGCGGACAGAGCAGGGGGCGGGGGTCCGGGAGGAGGGGGCCGGGGTCCGGGAGGAGGGGGCGGGGCCCGGGGGCGGGGCCGGGGTCGGCGCCCTGCGGGGAGGCCGGCCACGTGACGCCCGCGGCCCGGCGGGGCTGCCAGGCGGCGAGCGCCGCGGCGGCCCCGGGAGGTGGCGGCGGGCGCGAGAGCCTGGGCCGCGCGGGACTGACCGTCGGGGCCCCGGGACGGCGGCCCCGGGGCGCCCATGCCATGGAGAAGCTGGCGGCCGGGCTGGCCGGCCTGCGCTGGAGCATGGGCGCCTTCCCGCTCGACCTCATCGTCAGCCGCTGCCGCCTGCCCACGCTCGCCTGCCTTGGGCCAGGTACCGGGGTCGCTGGAGATGGGGACCGGGGTCCGCGGGGAAATGGTGGGCTCTCCAGCCAGGGGCCAGAGGGATCGTGAGGAGGGTGCGGCACCCGCACCCTCCCAGCTCCCCGGCGTGGGCCCCGAGCGGTTCCTGGCGCGCCTCCCGGGAGACGCGGGGCCCACCCGCCAGGTCCGCCTCCTGGGCCCCGCGGACAAGCACAGGCACAGACACCGGGGACAGGGCCCGGGACAGAGTTTTCCCGCCCAGCTGGAGTCCGGAAAGGGGCCGAGCCCCTGCTCCCGCCCCGTCGGTTGCCCCCCTTTCCCCCGCTGCCCCTGGGCCCCCCGCCCCGGCCGCGCCCCCTTGGTCCCTTTGTCCCTGGCCTCTCACCTCTGTCTTCCCTCATCCCTGGGACCCGGACTCTGTCTTCCCCTTACCGCCACCCCTAGTCCTGCTCCGCCCCTCTGGGGACCCTTCTTGCACCTCCTTTCTCTTCCCTAGGAGCAGCCTCGGTCCTGGGGCGGGCAGGCCACCTTCGGGAGAGGCCGGCGGGAGCCGGGTCTGCTGCCCGGCGTGACCCCCAAACTCCCGGCCCTCCCCCGAATCTTGTCCCACTTCTTAATAGGACCTGGGGCCCCCAGCCGCTCGGCTGATGGAACCACGCATGGGGGCCCGAGAGGGTACGCCCGGAGGCTGCATGGAGCGAGGGGACCGTTTGGGGGGAGGGGGGTGCTGCTTGGTTGGGGGATGGGCGGTAGCCGGGGCTGGCAGCCAGGCCGGGGGTTTTGTGTGTGAGAAGAATAGGGGTTTGGCCCGCGTTGGCACACTCGCTTCCATGAATGCTAATGGGGCCCGCGGCCGCAGGCTCCTCGTCTCCCCGTGGGGCCCGGCAGCCCCTCCTCCGTGGCGGCCAGGAGTGGGCACAGTGGGCGTCAGCTGTCCCGGGAGCAGGCTCATGGGGGAGCATCGGCGCCCCGCCGTCGGGCAGGCCAGCGTCTAGTTCTCTGGCTCGCGGCCGAGTGGTCAGAGTGTGGTACTGTGTCTGCCTGTGAATGGAGGTCGCTGCCCTGGGGTCTTCTGGCCACTTCCCACACATCCTTTTTGGCATCTCCCCTTTCTGGGCAGCTTTTCTGAGCTCCTCGGTCTGCGTAGGGCCTCCTTTGGGCTCCCCGGCCACCTCATGCCAACTCTGGCTTGTCTCCTACTGTGCACCCCATTATAATGGTCAGTCAGTTTATTGTCTTTAGACCTGGCTGTGGGCTCCTTGAGACCAGGCATCCTTGCCCAATAAAGATTATGGATTGAATGAATGGGTGAGTGAATGAACAACTGGTGTGATGGCCCAGCTGTCTGTTGTGTGTGACAGTGTGTGGCTATGGCTGGGTCACCATCAGGGTGTGAATGTCTGGTCAGAATTGTATGGCTTGAAGGGTAGGTCCCTGTGTGCCTGTGCATTTGGGAGGGGCCCCTTGGCCGGAGACTGAGTTATGTTGTTTGGGTGACAAGCATCTGTCACTGTGGGCTATTGTGGTTCAGCTGTTGGTGGTCATGAGCCATGATTACTGCTGTGTGCCCATGTGGCTGTGAAGATGGGGCTAGGACCCAGGACAGCTCTCAGAGGAGGGAGCAGAGTTGGAGGAGAGCTTCTTGGGCCCCCGGAGGTGAGGAGGTACAGGGGAAAGCTTAGACAACACCCCCAACACACACATAGTGGGGGCCAGGCCCTTCCTGTGCGTCTTGAACCGCCCGCCACCCTGCCACACACACACACACACATACACACACACGCCTACCCCACATGTACACATTTTATGGAGCCCCCAGCCATCAGAGTAAACCATTTCCCATTTGATTGGCAGAAATTTTGTAAGTTGTGCCTGAAGGAGAAAGGAAGGAGGTACTCCCTACCCCCACCCTCCCCACCAGCTGCAGCCCGGACACAGCCCCTTCTGCCTCCTGGAAGCTGGGCTGCCCCTCCTGCTCCCCTGGAAACCGTTGCTGGGGTTGGCGCCTCCAGGCCCAGACCCCTCCCAACTCCCAACACCTCTGCCCCAGAGCAGCTTCCCCCAGGCCCCAGGGCTGGGCCTCCCACTCCTGCCTTCTAAACCTGCTCTCTCAACCCCTCCAACCCTCAGCCGTCACCCCTGTAACTGGGAGGATGAGGGGGCGTGGGGAGGGGGTGTCAAGGAGCTGCTTCTCTGAGATGGGGTTGGGGGTTTCTGGGGACTCCCCCCTCTCCTTCGAGGTCCCCTTGACAAGGCAGTGGGTGGCTTCTCTGAGATGGGGTTGGGGGTTTCTGGGGACTCCCCCCCTCTCCTTCGAGGTCCCCTGAACAAGGCAGTGGGTGGAAAGGAAGGGCTGCCCTTGGGAGAGGCAGTAATCAGCTGCTCTAAGCCCTGTCATTCTCCTGACCTGAGCGACCCGTGGCTCTGGGGGAGCTCTCACAGCTGGGACCTTATAAGGGACAGTCCCGTCCGGGCCCTCTCCACTGCCCCAGTAGGGCCCTTCTTGCAGGGCCTAGGCCCTGACTGGGAAGCACAGCTCCAGCATCTCCTGCTCAATAAAGTCTCCCTTCGCCACCACACCCCCAGCTGGAGCCTACTGCTGCCCTCCGGGTCCCCAGACATACTCCAGTCAGTGCCTCAAACTTGCCTAGTCTCTGGTACATCTCTGCCCACCTCCCCAGGGGCCTAAGGGCTCCTGGAGGGCAGGGGCTGGTCTGGGCTCATCCATGGGGAGCTCCCCCTGCTCCAGCTCAGAGCCAGGGACAGCAGGCATTCCAGCCACTGATGAACGAGGGGCCCCGTCGGGAGTCACAGCCCTGAGAGGCTCACAGCCAGCCCCACAGCCCCAGGCCCCAGCTGGCAGCCCGCCTGTCCCTTGAGCTTTGCTGACCTGGACAGGGATTGTGTGGAGCTGTCCCTCAGGGGGGCGGTCTTGGTGAGGACGTCACTATCTGTTCTTTCTGCCCCTTCTAATGTCCTGTCTTCCTTCCCCTCATCCTCTGTCCTCCTCCCCCTTCCCAGGGGAGTACGCCGAGGGCGTCAGTGAGCGAGACATCCTGCTCATCCACTCCTGCCGGCAGTGGACAACGGTGACAGCTCATACCCTGGAGGAGGGCCACTATGTCATCGGGCCCAAGATCGACATCCCCCTGCAGTACCCAGGTGTGTCCAGCCAGGACAGATGTCATAAAGCCTGTAGGGGGGTGTAGGCAGGAGGGACTGGGGCCAGGGGTAGGGGGAACGCTGGGACTAGCGAGGCGGTGATTAGGGTTAGGGTTGGAGTCAGAGCCCAGCAGTTTTCATTCTGTTCTGTGGCACTCTGGGTTTCTGGAGAGGTGGCTCACAGGTTTTTTGATTCACATTTTATTTTAAAGTAGATTTGAAACTAATGATTAAAAAATACCCACACTCTTAAATTACTACACATCAGAGCTTAACCCTAATCAGAGGCCTTCAGGGTATACCTTCGGCTGCCACGCTTAGCCATCTTTGTGCAGACCCTCCAAGAGAACATGTCCTGCCAGGACCTTTTCTGTACCGCGCAACCAAATACCGCAGAAACCAGCGAATGCCCAAGCTGGTTACATGGCTGCACCTCTCCGCGCTGATCCTGTTTTTCCCAATTTTTGCGTTAAACCTATTGTTTCCATTGGTTGACTTTATAAGTGAATATTAAAAATTTTAGACTTCTAAAGATTATGCTAATGGACTACCTTTATTAGTTTTATACGTGACGTTGACATATAATAAGATTTTGTTTGAAGAAAGGATTCTGTTACCAAAACAGAGTACAGCCCCTTCCTTTTACAGATGATGAAACGGAAGGCTTGGGGGAGGAGGTGACTTGCCCCGTGTCACACATCTAGGAAAGGAAGAGCCTGGCCAGATCCAGGTATCTCAACTGAGGGCTGGTGTCTGCTGCACTACACCAGGAGCGTGTGGTTGCTGTCCCCTGTGTGGGAGGGATGGGAGTCTGGTGGCCCCATCCCAGAGACGTCCCCGTGTGAGCCCCGGATCCCACATCTGCCATGTGTTAAGCATGTGCTGCATGCCATATGCTGGGCCGAACATTTTTGCCATTTCATCCTCATGGCAACCTGATGAGAAAGTCTTGTCAACTCCATTTAACTCACCAGGAAACTGAGGCTCCAGGAGTTTCAGTGGCTTGCCCAGTGCCATGTTTTTTATTTCATTTTTTGTGTTTTTAGAGATGGTCTCCTTATGTTGCCCAGGATGGTCTCAAACTCCTGGTCTCAATGAAGCCTCCTGCCTCAGTCTCCCAGAGTGCTGGGATTATAGGTGTGAGTCACTGGGCCAGGCCCAGTTCTGTGTGTGTGTGTGTGTTTTCTGTTGCTCAGGCTGGAGAGGAGAGGCGCCATCTTGGCTCACTGCCTCCGAGGTTCAAGGGATTCTCCTGCCTCGGCCTACCAAGTAGCTGGGATTACAGGTGCCTGCCACCACTCTCTGCTAATTTTTGTATTTTTAGTAGAGACAGGGTTTCACCATGTTGGCCAGGCTGGTCTCAAACTCCTGACCTCAAGTGATCCGGCCGCCTTGGCCTCCCAAAGTGCTGGAATTACAGGTGTCAGCCACCAAACCCAGCCCAGTTCTGTGTTTTTAACTGCTGTGCCCAGCTGCTCCTGACAACCCCCTCACCAAGGCTGGGAAGGTCCCATTGCTTCTTCACAGGTACCCCTGCCTCCTCTGGCCCTGGGTCTCCCTGAGCCAGGAGGACAGGACTGAGCCCTTTACAGAGGCTTCTGTCTTTTACAGCCTGTGAAGTTGGTACCTGTGTACTCCACCCCCCAAACCCTTAAAAGATGTGGAAACTCACTCAGATTTCTTTCTGACCTGGGGTTCTATCTTGGGCTTGGAGCCCACTGGGGGCCTGCTCAAGCTAGAAATTTCCAAGCTTGGTTCAGGGGGAGGTCCCAGGTCTTCTTGGGATAAAAAAAGCAAAAGTTGCCTGAGCAGTGGCTCTTATATGTAATCCTAGTGCTTTGCTGAGACAGGAGGCTCCTTTGAGGCCAGGAGTTCCAGGCCAGCCTGGGCAACATAGCGAGAACAAACAAAAACAAAAACAAACAACCCCCCCCCCCAACAACAAATAAATTAGCTAGGCGTGGTGGCGCAGGCCTGTAGTCTGGCTACTGGGGATACTGAAGCCAGGTGGGGGGGATCCCTTTAGTCCAGGAGGTTGAGCCTACAGTGAGTTATGATGGTACCCCTGCATTCCAGCCTGGGAGACAGAGCAAGATGGTGTTTCTAAAATAAATAAAAATTAAAAAGAAAAGAGAAAAAGAAAGGTTGGGAAAATCCCTCACTGAAAAAAACGTGACTTTAGGGACTTCATTTTGGTTGTGTCATTAAAACTCTGGGAACCCAAGGCACAGTCTCCCAGGGAACCGTGGGTCCGGGGGCTCCTAGCTCTTCCTCCCATCTCTCTGGCGCCCCTGCGTGCCTGTGTACGGTGGTGGTCTTGGAGGGGTGGTGGTCTTGGGGGGCGCGGCCCCAGCCCCATCTTTTCGCGGGGCTGCTTCTGTCCGCCCGCACGGGGGAGGGGAGGAGGAGGCGGAGGCGGAGGCAGAGGCCCCTAGGAGGGCGAAGGCCGGCGGGTTAACGAGGAGGCGCTGAGTGCACGGCTGGGCTCCACGCTGATTTCTCCTAATGAATTAATAATGGCGCTCGGGCGGGCGGGGGTGGCCGGCTGCGGACCGCGGAGAGAGCCGAGGGGAAGGCCGTGGAGGGAGGAGGACGGCGACTCGCGCCGGGTGGGGCTGAAGGCACTGCGGGGTGACTCGGTCTCCAGGCTGCGGCGCTCTGCTCCGGGAGTCAGGGAGACCTGGCCTGGCCCCGTACTGTCCCCCGTCCCAGCCCCCGCCCCTGGCCCTGCGGGAGGGGCCAGGCGTCTTCCCTGAGCATGGTGCCACTTCCCCAGTGTTGGCCTTGTTTCCTGCTCAGCATTTGGCAGATGCGCCTCTGGCCCAACTAGGATGTTTCCATTTTACAGACGGGAAATCCGAAGCCCAGAGAGATTAAATAATTTGCCCAAGGTCACACAGCTGGCTAGTGGCAGGGTGGGATTCAGCCAGATTTGTCGCACTCCAAAGCCTGAGCTTTTACCCACGTTCTTTACTGAGTGTGTGCTGTGGGGCAGGCATGGAGAAGGGTGGTCAGCAATCCCCTGCCACAGCCCTCAGGTGCTTGGGGCTGGAAGGGAGGAGCGAGGCAGCCATGTGCTCTGAGGGCAAGGACAAGGAGGAGGGGCAGGTCAGGATGGAGCAGGTCCTTAGAGCCGTGGGGGACCTCAGGTTCCATACAGGGGGAGGCAGGAGAGGAAGCCGCCCCTGGGCTGGCGGGGAGGAAAAGGCTTCCAGGGTCCAGAGCATCACTCCCTGGAGGGCTCCCTTCCTTCCTCCCGCAGTAATGACCGGCGCTGGGCTTCAGGCTGCCGCGGAGGGGGATGGTGCTGGATGCCATGGTTACATCGATCTTTCCTGCCACATCCTCCCCCAGCTCCAGCCCTGACTTGGCTCCAAGTCGCCCCACAGGGGGCAGTGGGCATTGCTCCCTGCCTGGCTACTTGTGGTTGGGGCAGGGGCGGGGGTGGGGGTTGTGTGTGGACTTGGGGGAGGAGGCGGGAGTGAGGGGAGGAGGCTACTCAGTGCCTGCAGTTCCTGCTTCCCAAGTCCTAGACCCCTGCTTCTTGCCTGCCCCCCTCCACATTTTTCCTCTGTTGCCCTCTAGGGCTGTGGCACTTCAGAGGCCTCTTCCCAGGAGGGTCCCAGGGCGGGGAGGGCAGGCCTGGGGGCTCCCCCGCCAGCGTTCTCCTAGTCATTTCCCCTTGTTCTGGGCTCTCATTTCTCTCCCTGCTCCGTGATGATGCTTCAGGCCCTGACCTCTGCTCCTCTAACCCTGCACCATGGGTGTCTTCATCTGGGTCTCTCGCTGGGTTTAGGGGTCTCCAGGAACCCCCAGCACTGAACACACAATTGTGTGTGTGTTCATGCTAGGAGCACAGTGTGGGCATTTTTCTGGGATGAACATCCCCAAAGGGTCAAGCCCCCTGCTCTTCCTCTTCCCTGAGCCATCTCACTTGCCTCACAGCCGAGGCTGCCACCTGTGGGCTGGTGACCTTCAGTCTATTTCACTGGCCAGTCTATTTCACTGGTGGCACCCACCCTAGGAGCACCACCTGAAGGCCCCTTTCTTGGCCTCTCCAGGATCTGCCTTGGCCCCACAACATGTTTCTTCTGGGTTCCCAGTTTTGGTTAACAGCTCTGCCATCTCCTTTTCTTTTCTTTTCTTTTTTGAGACAGAGTCTCGCTCTGTTGCCCAGGCTGGAGAGCAGTGGTGTGATCTCAGCTCACTGCAACCTCTGCCTTCCAGGTTCAAGCGATTCCCCTGCCTCAGCCTCCCAAGTAGCTGGGACTACAGGTGTGTGCCACCACACCCAGAGAGTTTTTTGTATTTTTAGTAGAGATGGGGTTTCACCATGTTGGCCAGGCTGGTCTCAAACTGCTGACCTCAAGTGATCTGCCCACTTTGGCCTCCCAAAGTGCTGGGTTACAAGCGTGAGCCACCGTGCCTGGCCTGCCATCTCCATTTCTGACCAGGCTGGTGGCCTGAGTACATCATCCTGAGTCCCTTCCTTCCCCACCTCCCCCTTCTTCTGTCACCCAAGCCTGCTGGGTCTCCCTTCCCAGTATCTCTTGGTCTGTTTCTGCTATTCCCTAGCTCTTCTCCAGAACCCCTTACTGGTTTGTTTACCTGACTGGTCTCCCGGTTATTTTAATAGAGCTGAACCTGGATCATGGTATTTCTTTGCTCGAAACACTCCAGTGGGTCTCATGTTGTACAGAATAAAGCTTTACTGCTTTAGCAAGGCATTCAGAGCCTTTCAAATCCCAGTTGCTGTCTGCATCCCCTCCTGTCCTCCCTCTCCCTAAGTCCTTCCCTGCAGGCACGCACCATCTGGGGCAGGTGGTCTGCTTTTGTGTCTCTGTGTCTGTGTTTACAGTGTTTCTTCCACAGGGAATGCCCATTCTGTGAATTCCCTTTGATTCTTAAGGTGCAGCTCAGTGATCCTCTCAGATTCCGCCAGGCAGGTTTTGCCTACCTAGCCGTCTTGTAACTCTTTTGTCACAAGTCTGTTGTAGCACTTATCACATCCTGCCACCATTGGGTACTCATCGTCTCACCCATTATATCTGGATTTCTTTAAGGGCAGACTGTATTTTACACAGATTTGTACCCTCTGTGTGGCCTACCATAGTGTCTGACACATAGTGAGTGCTCCATCAATATCTGTGCAATAATTAAATGAATGAACTGTGACAGAAGCAACTACCACAGGGGCTTCAGAAGCTAAAGAAGGCCCAGCGCGGTGGCTCACACCTGTAATCCCAGCACTTTGGGAGGCCATAGCAGGAGGATTGCTCGAGCCCAGGAGTTTGAGACCAGCCTGGGCAACATCATGAGACGTCATCTCTAATAAAAATAAAAAATTAGCCAGGCATGGTGGCACATGCCTGTGGTCCCAGGTACTTGAGAGGCTGAGGCAGGAGGATCCCTTGAGCCCAGAAGGTTGAAGCTGCAGTGAGTTGTGATCATGCCACTGTACTCCAGCCTGGGCGACAGCAAGACCCTGTCTCAAAAAAAACACCCAGAGGCTAAAGAGTCACCTTGTCTTCTCTCGACTTGTTCCCTCACCTATTCATGGCTCTCTTCCTACTGTATAAAGCTTGAGAAGAGGCCATCCATCAGATGCCAGGGCGGCTCAGAGCTTGTTTTGTGCTCATGTGGGTATGCATATAACAGGTGTCTGGCCAGTGAGGTGAGAGAGCTTACACAGGGATGTCAGCTTCACAGACTGGCAATCACTTCCGTAAAGTCTGTGTCTCCTAGGGGCATGTGCTGAGCTTGGCAAAGCACGCAGCCCCAGACTGCAGGTTGGGAAGGCCTACTCTCAGGGAGGTGGCTTTGCTGGGTTCAGGTCAGAGCCTCTGGGAGAGTAGGATTGGATATTGGACCAGGGCAGGGTGTGGGAACAGAGCTGGGGTCAGAGTGGTTCTCCCAGGGCCTTCAAGGGCTGGGCCAGGCCCTGGTTGGCCCAGTGCCACCTCCATGCGGATCAGCAGCCCAGGGCGATGCACAGGATGCCAGATCCAGGTAGGGCCCATGATCATCTGTCCCTACCCCCTCAGATGAGGACCCAGAGGCCCAGAGAGGGAAAGGAACTTGTCACGGCAAGTCAGAGGTCAGGCTGGGACAGAGCAAGGAGCCAGCATCCCGGTACCACACTGATAGTTGATCAGAGGCCAGCTGTGTCCACATGTTTGGGGCTATTTGCAGTTGGGTTTCTCTGGGCAGGCAGCCGCTAGCCTCACTGCATACCCACAGGCTCTCTATGGGGGGAGGGCTGGGCTATAGTTGCTAGGGATCTGTGCTCACCTTGCTGAGGCTGGAGCCAGATGACCAGCCCCCTTCAGCCCATGCCAGTGGAAACCTGCCCTTTGGCCCTCCTGAGTTCCTGAGGGGCTGGCCGAGATTATGGTAGCAAGTGACCATGAAGGCTCTTGGGACGCAGGCTAGACTCCCAGCAGGCAGGCCCACTCCAGCAACTTTTGTCACCCACTATGCAGGGAAGTTCAAGCTCCTGGAACAGGCCCGGGATGTGCGGGAGCCAGTGAGGTACTTCAGCAGCGTGGAGGAGGTGGCCAGTGTCTTCCCTGACCGCATCTTCGTGATGGAAGCCATCACCTTCAGCGTCAAGGTCAGTCACTCCCTCACCAGGTGTGGTGTCCCCACACTACTCCTTGCCTCAGGGGCAACCCTGACTCTGGTTGGAAGGTTGCCCTCAGGATCCAAGAAGGAGAGCGGCTCCTGGGGACCCCTTAGGGGTCTTTGGCACAATCAAGCCATGTCAGAAGGGTGGGGAATAGGACCCACTGGGCTGAAGGACTTCCTATGAAAGGTAGTGAAGCAGGAGCGGGTGTCTGGAAGGGTCATGTTCTGACTTGGAGACTTTTCAGGGCAACCTGTCCCTAGCTGCCCCAGCACCCACTTGTAGAGGCGGTGGTTGTGGTGAGCAGGCAGTGTAAATAGACCCCTGCTGTGGGGTGGGAGCAGTGGCTCATGCCTGTAATCCCAACACTTTGGGAGGCTGAGGAGGGAGGATCAACTGAGGCCAGGAGTTTGAGACCAGCCTGGGCAACATGGAGAGACCCTGTCTCTACAAAAAATGTTAAAAAATTAGCTGGGCATAGTGGTGCGTATCTATAGTCCTAGCTACTTGGGAGGCTGAGGCGGGAGGACTGTTGCCAGGAGTTTGAGGCTGCACTGAGCTGTGAATGTGCCACTGCCCTCCAGCCTGGGAGACAGAGCAAGACCCTGTCTCAAACAAACAAACAAACAAACAAAAACAACTAAAAGCAGTCCCTGCTATGTACAGATAGTGCTGTTCTGTTTACAAACCCTTTTCTTATCCATCAATTCATTTCTCTTCACTTAGCCTTGTTGGATGGGTAGGGCATTATGATCGCCCAAATGGTAAAGACAATGATGATAAAAGTCGCCATTTACTGCATACTTTAAAATATGTTGCTGATCCAAGTAGTGGGGAAGAAAAGAAAAATATGTCACTGCACAGTCTTTTTAATCCTACAGCAGTTCTTCGAAGTAAGAGTTATCAGATATGGTCGCTAAGGCGTGGAGGGGCAACTCATTTAAGGTGGCACAGCTGCTAGTGGTCTCTCCAGGATGAACGTGGATCTCCTGGCCTACCATCTAGTCCGAGCCCCGGGAGGGCGGAAGAGGAAGGCTGTTTTCCCTTTCCAGTCTCTGGGAGCTGGCCGTGTGGCTTTCCCTGGGACCTGGCTAAGGCCCTGCCCTGTCTCTGGGATCCCCAGGTGGTGTCGGGCGAGTTCAGCGAGGACAGCGAGGTGTACAACTTCACGCTGCATGCGGGCGACGAGCTCACTCTTATGGGCCAGGCGGAGATCCTGTGCGCCAAGACCACCAAGGAGCGCTCGCGCTTCACCACCCTCCTGCGAAAGCTGGGCCGGGCCGGGGCGCTGGCCGGGGTGGGCGGCGGCGGCCCAGCGAGCGCGGGGGCCGCGGGAGGCACTGGCGGCGGGGGCGCCAGGCCGGTCAAAGGCAAGATGCCCTGCCTCATCTGCATGAACCACCGCACCAACGAAAGCCTGAGCCTGCCCTTTCAGTGCCAGGGCCGCTTCAGCACTCGCAGCCCGCTGGAGCTGCAGATGCAAGAGGGCGAGCACACGGTGCGCGCCATCATCGAGCGCGTGAGGCTGCCGGTGAACGTGCTGGTGCCCAGCCGGCCGCCGCGCAACCCCTACGACCTGCACCCGGTGCGGGAGGGTCATTGCTACAAGCTGGTTAGCATCATCTCCAAGACGGTGGTGCTGGGGCTGGCGCTGCGCCGCGAGGGCCCGGCGCCGCTGCACTTCCTGCTGCTCACGGACACGCCGCGCTTCGCGCTGCCGCAGGGCCTGCTGGCCGGGGACCCGCGCGTCGAGCGCCTGGTGCGCGACAGCGCCTCCTACTGCCGCGAGCGCTTCGACCCCGACGAGTACTCCACGGCCGTGCGCGAGGCGCCAGCGGAGCTCGCCGAAGACTGCGCCAGCCCGCGCCGCGCGCGCCTCTGCCTGCCCGCGCCGCGCGCCCCCGGGCTCGCCCGCGCCCCCGGCCCGCTAGCGCCGGCTCCCGCCGGCGAGGGCGACCAGGAGTACGTGAGCCCCGACTGGGCAGCCGCGCCCGAGCCCGCCGCGCCGCCCGCCGAGATCCCCTACGAGGAGTTGTGGGCGCACCAGGGGCCCGAGGGCCTCGTCCGGCCGCCCCCAGGGCTCGATCTCATCTCCTTCGGGGCCGCGGGACCGCCGCGTCGGGAGCCGGAAGCGCCGCCGCCTCCAGTCCCTCCCAAATCCGAGGCGGTGAGTGAGCGCGCTGGGGGCCGAGTCCCGGGTCCAGCCAGGGCCCAAAGCCCGTTCTCCTGGGCCCCGGCCCCGGAGTATGTGGCAGACGAGGTGTCTTCCTCGGCGGGGTGGGGAAGGGGAGAAGGAAAGGGCAGAGGCATGCCAGGCAAAAGCATTTGTAGTAAGGGGCACTGGGGCGGGCGGTGGCGGGAGAGCTGTGGGACAGAGATGCGTGTAGGTCCCCAGCCTCAGAGGATTTGAGAGGAGCCCCGAAGCACTGTTACCCAGAAGGTACCACAGAACAGGGGTCCTTTAAGTTGTTGCGTGAAAAGAAGGTTCCTTGGCGAAGTAAGCTTAGAAATGCTGTGAATGATTCCCAGCCCTTTTTCCCTCCTCATATTGGAGTCACAGAGCATTGGTAGATTAAAGGCTCTGAGAAGTCCTGCACTAAGGAATCCTGTTTATCAGAACATTTTCTCCCTGCCCGTAACACCCGTCAGCATCCCATGGAGTCCTCTTTGGGGTACACGACTTGTAGGGAGGGATGCAGGTGGCAGACGCTTCCTTCCCTCTGTCCCTTCGGCTTTCCTTTGTCCTCTGCTTTCTCTCCTTTTCCTTGAGGAGGGAGCACGTCTGCTTAACCTGTTTTGATCTACCTTTGTGTTCTTTTTCTTAACATCCATGATGGATTTCCAAGGAACAGGAAGGAGGCTGTGGGACAGGGTGTGGGTGCGTGAGATAGGCTGGGAAGGCTAGGAAGGGTGGGGTGGCTGGCTGACTGGATGAGCAGTTGGGGTGCAAGGCAGCCTATTGGCAAAGTGGGGCAAATGTCAGGCCCAGACAGCCCCCTCGCCCAGCTGCTTGGGAAGGGGAAGATAAGGAGTGCCAGCTGTTTGGAGTCGAGGTGGAGTCACCGCCCTCTGCTTGTAGGTGAAGGAGGAGTGCCGCCTGCTCAATGCCCCTCCAGTGCCTCCCCGGGGTGGCAATGGCAGCGGCCGGCTCTCCAGCAGCCCCCCGGTTCCCCCTCGCTTCCCCAAGCTGCAGCCGGTACATTCCCCCAGCTCCAGCCTCTCCTACTACTCCTCTGGCCTCCAGGATGGGTGAGTCCCTGCCTTCCCTTGGTCCTGAGTTCTAAGGTAGATCAAGGCAGGGAAGGGTGAGGAGGGGGAACTACAGTGCTGAGGAAGAGGAAGTCTTGAGGCCTGGGAGATTCCCGAGGGTGCAGCTCCCTGTGCAGTGGCTCAGGGATTGGCACTGCTGTCTGGGTGTCTTGGGGCCTGGGGCCCAGTGGCCTGTTCTGCCCACTTCAGCTTCTTTCTCTCTTAAATGTTGAGGAACGGATGGGAGCATTGCCCTGGTCCCCTCAAGGTGGGGACTTTGCTGCAGGATAGAGAGAAGAGAGCTCCTTGCTGTTTTGAAATTTTGATTAAGTTCAGGCCAGGTGCGGTGGCTGATGCCGGTAATCCCAGCACTTTGGGAGGCCGAGTTGGGTGAATCACTTGAGGTCAGGAGTTCAAGACCAGCCTGGCTAACATGGCGAAACTCCATGTCTTCTAAAATACAAAAATTAGCCGGGCATTACGGCACATGCCTGTAATCCCAGCTACTCGGGAAGCTGAGGCAGGAGAATCGCTTGAACCCGGGAGGTGGAGGTTGCAGTGAGCCAAGATTGCACCACTGCACTCCAGCCTGGGCAACAGAGCGAGAACACCATCTCAAAAGAAAAAAAATTGAAAGAAAATATTTTTATTAATTTCAGTTTCGTTTCATTTTTCCCCTGTGTTTTCTGACCTGGGCTGGGGGATGCTGGAAGGAAGAACACGGCCATTCCGGAGGGTCTTGGGCTGGGGCTGGGGTGCAGGCCCGTGTTGCTGAGGTCATAGTGGTGCTTGGTTGCAATGCATGTGTGACCCTATCGGATTCCCTCTCAGCCTCACCTGTCCTATGTGTGTGTGTCTGTCTCTGTCCACAGGGCGGGTTCCCGCAGTGGCAGTGGCTCCCCATCGCCGGACACCTACTCCCTCTATTGCTACCCATGCACCTGGGGAGACTGCAAGGTGGGCGAGTCCTCTAGCCGCCCAGCCCCCGGTCCCCTACCCTCAACCACACAGCCCAGCCAGGCCTCCCGGGCCCTCACAGAGCCTCTGAGCGGTCGAGCCGCCTCCCTTCTGGGGGCTGACACCCCTGTTAAGACCTACCACAGCTGCCCTCCTCTATTCAAGCCCTCACATCCCCAGAAGCGCTTTGCTCCGTTTGGAGCTCTCAACCCTTTTTCCGGGCCTGCCTACCCCTCAGGCCCTTCAGCGGCCTTGTCTTCTGGGCCCAGAACCACCTCGGGTCCTGTGGCTACCTCTGGCCCTGCGTATTCCCCAGGCCCAGCCTCGCCAGGCCAGGCCTATTCAGCTGCTCCCCCCTCCTCCTGCGCCCCCTCCTCCTCCTCTTCTTCTGAATGGCAGGAACCAGTCCTGGAGCCCTTCGATCCCTTTGAGCTGGGGCAGGGCAGTTCTCCAGAGCCTGAGCTGCTGCGTTCTCAGGAGCCCAGAGCAGTGGGGACACCTGGGCCTGGACCCCGCCTTTCACCACTTGGCCCCTCCAAGGCCTTTGAGCCTGAAGGTTTGGTGCTGCACCAGGTCCCCACCCCACTGTCACCAGCTGCTCTGCAGGGACCCGAGGCGGGAGGAGCACTTTTTCTAACCCAAGGGCGCCTGGAAGGGCCTCCTGCCAGTCCCCGGGATGGAGCCACAGGCTTTGGAGTCCGAGATGCCTCCTCCTGGCAGCCCCCTGCTGACCTGTCTGCACTCTCCCTGGAGGAGGTCTCTCGCAGTCTGCGTTTCATCGGGCTCTCAGAGGATGTGGTGAGCTTCTTTGCCCGAGAACGCATCGATGGTAGCATCTTTGTGCAGCTCAGTGAGGACATCCTGGCAGATGACTTCCACCTCACCAAGCTGCAGGTCAAGAAGATCATGCAGTTCATCAAAGGCTGGAGGCCCAAGATCTGAACTGCCCAGCTGGAGCTGCACAGCTGGAATGCTGGTATGGGGGCCCCAGGTACAGCACTCCGGAGGAGCAGGTGCTGCCTGCAAGAAGGATCTATGTCGAGACTGAGGCTGCTCAGCAGCCACTGGGTGGATCCAGGGGAGATGCATGTGGAAATGTGGTCCTCTGGGGTCAGACCCCTGCACGGGACATCTTGCCTTTGAGTGTGCAGAGTACATGGGGAAGGGGCTGGGGGCACCACTGTGTACCTGGGCCCAGTAAGGCATTTGCCGTGATTCCCACAACGGGGTCAAAAGCTGGCCTTCAGGGTGACCTAACACCACCTCATGCCCTGCTATAGACCTTCACAAACGACTTCCACTGCTGAAGCCTGTAGGCTCTGTTTAGAGACAAGAAGATGGCTGGTAATTTAAGCACCGATTTCCCAAGTGCCCACTCTCCTTTGTGCTCTGTTGGCTTTTGGCCTAAAGCTGCCCCAGAGTGAGGGTGTAGATGTCTGTGTCTGTGAGATGCCTTTCCCTTCCCCCTCTGCTCCACCGTGGTTGAGGGGGGTGGGGCCTGGCCCCGCACACAGGTGAGTCGTGTACAAGCCTAACCCATGGCACCTCAGAGGCTCCACCTGTGGGTCCTGGTTCATGGGTGACAACTTTGGAAGAGCACAGCTCTGCAATTGACCCGACCCACTTATCTAGTTAGGAAGCCAGACACTGCCCAGATGACTCTAGCACCCTGGCTTCTGCTCTGACTTTACTGCAGCTAGTCATCCATCCGTCAGGTGGCGTTCAGTCTCAGAATACTGATTCCGTGGAAGAGCAGGTTGATTTAGGTCAGCTTCTCCTTGATTCTAGAAGCAAGCGGTAGTCAACCACCTCCAATTCCGCCAATCTCTTGCCCCCATCATTTGTCTCTGACAATACTTGGTGTTTTTCCCTGGTTTTCTGTCACTGGCACAGGAGGGTACAGTTGGGAGAGTGCGTTCCTGGAGCTCAGTCCTGCATTTGTTCACGTGCCTCACAGCAGGCCTTTGTGCCCTTGAATCTCAAACATGGGGATCTGCTTGGTACCCAGAGCTCTGGTCATTGTGTCCAACCACACACCCCACCCCATCCGTGTCCTCCATCTCACCCAGAACCACAGGGTGCCCACTAGTGTCAGGGCCCAAAGTGCCAGCCTTCTCTTCTGCCTTACCTAGTCTACCTATTTATTTCCTCCACTTTTTATCTTAAAAGTAGCTAAGCCATGCTGGTGCCCATACTCCAAGCAGGCTGCCTCAGCTCAGAGAAGTGGTCAGAGAGTAGAGCACAGAACCTGTGATGTGGGGACATTTGGTTTTCTTGCAGATCATTTAATGAATCCTCAAGGACTAATGAAATAAATGCTAGACTGCTGAAGATGAGTACAAGTGGCATTCTGGGTGCCAGCTGCTTTCTTCTTTTGAAAACAAGGCCATGGGGACCCATGGGCACAGTGTATATGCCTTCTGGCAGGAGAGGACTGATGGAGGAATGATGTGGGTGTGTGGCCATTCCCATGTCTGTGGAGGCGGCTGGTGGCAGCCTTCATTCCCTTCTGCAGGGCCCTCGCCAGCCCCTCCCTACCCTTCAAGAACCCCCACCCCAGCTTCCACTAGTTTCAACATAATTCACACCTACCTGGTGTTACTGAAGGGAAAGACCCAGGCTCAAAGCTGAATGCCACCAGCCAGGGCCCAAGCTTAGCTTCCTGCATTGGCAGAATGCCGGCTTCAGGCTCTCTCAGACCAAATTTGGAAACCGGTTAATGGCTTTGGTGCAAGGGATCAGCTCCCTACTCTGGTCATCTGAAAACCTCAACTCAGAGGTGACTTGGTTTTAGAGTCTGGCTTCCTAGTGACCAAGCAGAGCCAGACCTGATCTCCTTGCCTGCCAGTCCCAGCTACAGAGCTGGGACCAGGGACATATTTGAAGTACAACTGGAGCAGAGGCAGGAGTAACTGGTAATATCTGACAATTTAGAATGCAGAATGTGATGGGACTGGAATTACGATTCCGCACACACTCAGCGTGGATCCTTCTGCCAGACCCAGTTAGCCCCAGTGCTGTTTACCCAGACTGGGCACTGCTTCTGTAGGAACTTTCCATCCCAGGGGGTGGGGTGGGGAGGGGCTGAAGCTTTGGGGGAGTGCAGGTGCTGTGGGGGTCAGCACTCCTCATGCTGCTCCCGTGCTGCCTGATTACCGCACAGGCATTTCTGGGGCAGCCCTGCTATGCAGGATCTCCGAACATCAAGGGAGATGTCAGCGCCTCTGCTTAGCACCAACGTTCCCACAACCATCCCAAGAAGCACCTATGAATGAGGCACACCCAGAAAAGAAATGGGTAAGATCACACAATGAGGAAATCCAGGCTGGGGAAAGAGGTTTAATATCCCGGTACACCGTGGTGAGAAGCCTGGGCAAAGCATCTGCACAGACAGGTGTGTGTGGTTGAGCCCACCAGGTCCCACTTTCTCTCATCCCAGTCCCTCCCTAAGGTGCTGCCTAGAATTCTGCACACACATTCTTACTCCCCCAAAGCACAGGGCTTTCTTCCAGATTGCTTTTTGAAGGAGGCGTTTAAACCAGAAGGGCAAAGATGCTGACACAGAGTTTGGTTTTTATTGTTATGTGTTTGGCTGGGTGCAGAACTGCCCTCACCACCCCTGGCCACCCTGGCCTCTTGGGAGGAACAGGCAGAGAGGTGGCTTCAGATGGCTCTTGGCTGCCACTCTAGGCCTCGGGGCTTATACAATGAGCAGTGGGCTCTACCTTCCAACAGGAAGTGCAAACTAATTCGAAGTCACACTTCACCAGGAGGGAGAGATGGTCTTGGCTGAAGGCACTTTAATCAGGGAGCAAACCCAGTGCCGGAGTTTGTCTTCTCGTTACTCTGATAAATCTAGACACCACTCTGTTGGAGAACCAGCACTGCCGGCAGCTGGGGTTAGTGCACTGACTGAGCGAGGCATGAGGCCTGCTCACTGGTAGAACTTCTTGTTAGGGCTGTTAGCATGGTCAGCTAGCAGCTGGCATGGGGTGAACTGTTTTCCATAGGCAGCTTCATATTTCTTGAGCCGGTCCACTATCTTCTGGGCGCCATACAGATCCACAAAGCGGAAAGGCCCTGAATAGAGAAAGAGGACTTCGTTGAAGGAGACGCAACACGGGCTCCAGGCTAAAGTGAGCTTCCTTCCCAACCTGCGAGACCAACCTCCCAGACAAGGCGGGAAGCCAAGCCCAAAGACGGCTCCGATGTCTCCCTCTGCAGGTGTGGCCAAGATCCCCTCTTGCAGGCACATGACTGCCTCATTCACAAATCTTGTCACCAGGCGGAACTGGATGTCTTCGTCTGATGAGCTGCCAACAGAAAGAGATGTTTAGGTAGAAGAAGAGGAAAAGGGGAGGAAAGCCAGAGCCGCAGATGCAGAATGGAAGTCGGGATGGGTGCATGGGGAGCTCTGTGGGCCGGTTGGTGCTGGCCCTCAGAGAAGATGCTGCCTGGGTGAACCAAACTTTCCCATGGAAAAAGTGGAGAGTAACTTGCCCTAATTAACATGAAACTGAGCACCTAGAACAGGGCCTGGTGCCGAGAAGATAATCAGTATCTCTTTGACATCAGCAACAGTCAGCTGCTCACAAATGATAATAAAGATCTGGGAGGGTGAAGGGGCCAAGGAGAATCTGTCCTTCCAGCGGCTCTCTGGGAACTTGCCAGAGAAGGCTGGAGCAGGGGAGGGCCTTCACCAGACGTGGCCTGGTTCTCACCTAGATGCTGGGCAGAGACCAAGGAGCACGTGCGAGGGCCTTCCACTTGGAAAGCACCATGCCAGCATCAGGAGTGGTCCTCCTGTTCAGGTATGGTGGTCACAAAGAAAATGGAAGACAGCACCATGGCACGTGTATACCTATGTAACAAACCTGCACATGTATCCCAGGACTTAAAGTATTAAAAAAAAAAAAAAATGGAAGAGGGGCTGGGAAGCTTTGGGCTGTCAGAGAAAGTCAATTTCCAGGCATTAGCCACTCAAACGGACTTACACTTCAGACTTAGGAGGCAGCTTCAGACTCGCTAAAATACTATCCATGTCAGAATTCAAATCCTTCCTCTTCACACCCTCCTGATAGATGTAAAAGCCCTTCCCAGATTTACGACCTAAAACAGGCAAGAAAAGGGAGTGTTACTATTTGTTCTCAGGGAGGGAGTGTTACTATTTGTTCTCAGAACCCTGGCCTGGCCAGGCGTGGTGGCTCACGCCTGTAATCCCAGCACTTTGGGAGGCCGAGGCGGAGGATCATTTGAGGTCAGGAGTTTGAGACCAGCCTGGCCAACATGGTGAAACCCCATCTCTACTAAAAATACAAAAATTAGCTGGGCGAAGCAGGAGGATCGCTTGAACCCGGGAGGTGGAGACGAGATTATGCCACTGCACTCCAGCCTGGGCAACAGTGTGAGACTCTGTCTCAAAAAAAAACAAAAAACAAACAAAAAAGACCCTGACCTGAGAATTCTTGTCTCTGTTGGTCTATTATAAAGCTCTGGCCTCTTCTGAATTCCTGAATTTGTATGTCTAGCTAACCCTAGCAAATTAGTCTTTGTCAGAAGAGTGGGCAGAGAAGGAAAGAAGATCTTGTGACCCGGAGCTTGGGCATCTGTGTACATGGATGAGAAAGGCCACCTGGGTGAGTTTTAACATCCCCATATGCAGCACCGGGTCCTAGAACACCCAGGTTGTAATGCTGATTTTGCTGTTTTGCCAAGACAGAAAGTCACTTCTCTGTGGGCCTCAACTGTATACTGTGTATGGTGAGCTTATACATTCTCCTCACAGGTGGCCAGACAGCATGGTAAAGCCCGGATGCAGAGCTTGCTTCTGCACTATTGCAGATTTCATCTCTGGGGGATAAAAATGCTTGTCCATCTGGCATAACTTGGACCAGGTGATGCTAGAGCCCCAGAAGGGTAGAACTCTGCCTTTTGTCCATAATCTATAGTCCTAGCCCTTAGAAGGTTCACATGACATCTTTTTTTTTTTTTTTTTTTGAGAAGGGGCCTCGCCATGTTGCCCAGGCTGGCCTCACACTTCTGGGCTCAAGCGATCCTCCCACCTCAGCCTCCTAAGCAGCTAAGACCATAAGTGGTTGCTACCGCACCTGACTCATAAAATCATTTTTGAAATCGCCAGTGATAAGGGCTCTGTGTTTAGAAAACTTTCTTCCACGAGGGCTTCTGTAACTCTTTGGTCTCAGGAACTGCTTAGAACTTTGTAACTAATGGTGCTAGTTATGTTTCCTTGAGGCTACTCACCTAGGAAGCCCTTGGACACCATCTGTGTCAGCAGTTCTGGGTTTCCACCTCCAAACCGCTCCCCAAAGACTTTGCCCAGATCTTCCGCCACATGTTTCGCTACATCCACACCAACTTCATCCACCAGTGTGGCGGCACCCACAGGAAAGCCAAAGCTTGTGGTCAGGGAATCCAGCTTCTTCGGGTCAACTCCTTCCTGAACAGGAAGCGATGCAGGGACCTCAGGGGAAGGGCAGCCCAAATCCCCCCAAAGGGCTCCCTGTACTGGCTCCAAACACTGCCTTGTGTAAAACCCACTTCTGAGTGTCACCTGACCAGGCCCAGGACTGGTGCTATTTCATTCAGGGAAGCACAAAGAAGTTTGGGGCCACAAGTGGAAAGTCTGAGCCTTCTCTAATCTACAGCACTTTAAGGACGTTTAGAGATGACTAAATTCTTCATTTTCTTCTTGTTTGCATTTCTGAATCTCAATAATAAGGAGATTGCATGACAGACGGCTGAGTGTGTCATGACCAACAGAAGAAACATCATCAAAGAGGAGCACTCAGAGCCCTGTGATCCCCAAGTCTGGGTAAGTGCCCAGCGAGGAGGATCCCTCTCCTTTCCTGCCAGAATGACCTCGATGGCTACTGGAGAGGTCTGTGTGCTGTGGAAACAGATGCAGCACCAGTTGAACCAAGCGGGCCCTGTTCTGGATGGTCCCTGCCTCAGAGAGGTGCAGAAACAGCATAGAAGACATGCTGGGGGGTGGGGTGCCTTTAGCTTGCTGGAACAGTGAGGAGGCTGTGGGGCAGAGGGAAAGCTCTGCCCCTTTCAGTGCAGTATAAGCCCAACTTCCGACTGCTGTGCAGAGAGAGGGCACCAGGGACCTTCCTAGACAAGAGCAGGAGTTGGTGTATCAGAAGGAAGCTTGGTCCTTATCTTGACATCATGAGTTTTAGAGTGACTGAAGGAGTGGAAGATGCCGCAAACACTCTGGAGAGCAATACCAACCTGGAGGATTCGGATGACTTCAGACATCATGGGCGCAAGACACCTGGTAGTATAGAAGCCAGGTCCATCCTGCCAAGGAAGAGAACATGAGCTCCCTGGCCCTGCTGCTGGGACTGAGTCTGAAACACTCTACCTTTCCCAGGGTCACTTCAAAGTCATTTGAAAGTCACTGTAAAACTTAAGGTGACTTAAAATCTCAATCAGAATCCTTAAAAATGAAATTGCAGGGGAAGCCGTACTAGGGGTAGCCTGGCTTGAATCAAACAGTACAGCAGATAGTTTCATGGTCACCTTCAAGGTCTGGGATGGCTGGGAGAACCCTGCCACATCCTAGATACTCCCCACTCCCACCTTGACTCAGTGGGACAGTCAATACCACCGTCCATCCTGGAGACAACCCAGGGGAAAATCATATCAAAGTCTGGTCATTTGCCCCAGAATATTTATAAACAAGCCTGGAGGTAAAAGGAGTCTTATTAGAACTTTTCAAAAACTCTGCAGCTCTGTTATACAGCCCCTTACCTTAACCACAATGATGACCTTCCCCTGCTTGAGACCAACTGCTACAGCTGAAGCACTGGTGTCTTTGGAAGTTTTCTCGGTCGTGATAATCTCCAGCAGCTGCATCTTGTCCACGGGAGAGAAGTAGTGCATGCCAATCACCTGGCAAGGGGAACCAAAAGCCAACAGATCGGAGAATGCGGGTGAGGAACCTGAGAGCATTCCTTCTCTGCTAGGAAAACACTAGAAAGAAAGGTGGCTGTGATATAGGAATACTGCTTGACATAGCTGAGTGGTTTGGTTCCATGGGTCTTTGATAAAAGTTTAGTATGTTTAGGGAGAGCACATTGGAATCCTCCTCTTCCATTTGCTTCTAAGGTTTTTCACTACAGACATCTGATCCTCCCAACAATCAGTGCCAAAACCACAGCTCGAGGCCAAACTAGATTTATTGGGGAACGACGGATGAAGGTTCCACTTATATTAATGATACTGATGGTTTAGATAAGAGGATCCAGTTTTTTTGGGCGGGGGTGGGGCAGGCAGAAGAATTAATGTGTTGGGCTGTCAGAGAAGTATTTGCATTTTACACAGATGGGTCTCACCACCAGGATACTAGGTTTAACTAACACTCCTCAACAGTCAGATGCACTTAAGACTCATTAAACCAGCAGTTCTCCAAGTGTAGTACCCGGACCCAACAAGCACTGTCATCACCTGGGAGCGTTAGGCCTGCACATTCTCAGGCCTAGCCCAGCCCTACTGAATCAGAAACTCCATGGGTGGGGCCCAGATTTGTTTTAATAATCCCTCCTGGTGATTCTGATGCGTGCTAAGGTTTCAGAGAAACCCCTCATTGAGCTAACAGTTACATAGTCTTCCCAACAGAACTGTGGTGAAAGAAGTCTAATTCATTAATTTATAGTTTTGCTTTCTCCCTCTCACTTTAGCTATAAGGTACAACAAGTGATATCTGTAATTTTTGGCTGCTCATTATCTACCTGCTCTTCAATACATTTACCACTTATTCCTTACATTTAATCCATTACAACCCTATGAACTGGTCAGCCTAATTATCTAGATGAGGAAAAAAGGTATCAAGAGGTTAGTAGTACAGAGTCAGTCAGCATATGACGGGGTGGGATTCCATCACAGGTCTGTCTATCTCCAATGCCATTATGTAATACACAGATCAAGTAAATGTTATGTAAACTTATCAATCCAAAAGTTGTTTCTAACCCCTAAAGTGTTCTTTTACTTACATCTGAAATACTTAGGACCTGATTCAGACTCAGTACTCCTGAGCAAAAGGAATTAGCCTTTATTGATGTAGAATTTCTATATAATAAAATGCACAGATCTTGAAGTGTTCACATCAATGAGTTTTGACAACTGTATATACATCCATATAATCACTAACCCAAGCAAAATATATTTACATCACTCAGAAAGTTGTGCCAAAGATGACCAACTCATCCTGGATGGCTGGGGATTTCCCAATTTGTGGCACTGAGGGTCCTGTATCCCTTGCTCCCGGGCAAACCAAGATGGTTGGTCACCCTATTTTGTCTTTTTGGCCTTACTTTTAAATGAATGACAAAAGGCAAGCAGGTGAGAAAAGCTGTCCTAGATACTTGGAGGGCAGAACTGCAAAGTGTGATGCTTGCTCTGCTCCGATGGCGGGGAGAGGTTACCATCAAATGAACAGCAACGGCATCGCCTGTACTGATTTTAGATGCCACACAGATGTCTTGAGTGATATGACATGGCCAGACTGTCCATCTGTAGACTATCGGCTGCAACTTCTCCCTATGACCTTTAGCCTGCCATCATTGAGCCTGCCTCTGTCAGGTCCCCGCATCACTTCTAATCTGCTGTGTGCTAGGAAACTAGATTACCTTGCATTAGCAAGCTAGAAGAGTAGGAATAAATAGGCTTTTGTGTTTTCAGTACATAGAATTTGTATTAACACTTTCAGCTGCTTAAAGTTCTTTTATAATTCCTGCCTACCTTCGGCTGGTTCTGGTTAGCAGAGGCTAACTGGTATCCTCCAGAGAAGTGAGTTGTTTTACTTCTCTTTGAATGATTTCACTTCCCCTTAATTACTCTGGTTGAGAGCAAAAATAAATTTCTGGGCATCATTCCAAATACTCACAGAAAGTGCTTCTATACCCAGCCCTTTCATGTCCCGGGGTAGAAGGTGTAAGCAAACCCACGGGCAGACACATCCCACCATTCCTGCCATTCCCTGATCTGGAGGTGGAACCAAACCTGTTCTAAACAGTCACTGACTCTGCTCTGTAGCCAAACTGGTATTTTGGAGCATCCTTTCTTAAGGCCTATCCTTCAATGCCTAATTCTAGGATACAGGTGGGCTTTATATCCTGAACCTGAAAAATAATGCCCATTTGGGATCCTTGAAAAGGATATTTTTTGTTGTACTTAACTTACTCCTGCATCTCACACTAGTCATGGTATTAGCATTTATTGTGTCCAGTGTTTAGGAACCACCCGCATCCACTCCGTAATCCACTGTCTCTTCTGTACTCAAGCTGTAAGCCTTTATCAGTGAATCTGAAGCAATAAAACATCTCAGGGTTTTTCTCTGTTCCGAGTTTACCTTCTCAGGTCTTTTGCTGACAGCAGCGATTTCACTGATTGGGAGAGCAGATGTGTTACTGGCAAAGATACAGTGATCTGGAATCACCTGCAGGGGAAAAGCATTTAACAATGTGTCAGGTAGGCCTGGGAGATGATTAGAGGCCACATCAAAGCTAATGAGTGACACCTGGGCCCAGCCCACTCTGTCCCCCACAACTGCTCAGACAGTAGATGTCACTCACCCAGACATTGACGGATCACCTAGGGGGTTTTGTGTCGGGGAATATGTTGACCTTGTTCCTTTTCCCATTCTGCCTTCCTCTAGTTATGGCCCATCATAAGGTCACCTTATCCTGACCTGGAGACTACATCTCAGCAGTTGGGTCAATAAAACAGCTTAGAACAACACTGAAAAGACGGCCTTGAATTGCAATTCATTGATTTCAACACCCAGCATGGGTGTCACCTCCTCTTTTGTTTGGATCTGCCCTGAATCACTCCCCGCTTCACCTTTATAAGAACAAGCCAAAATGTGCATGCTTGTCTCATTTTATACAGTGTGTTACTAAAAAACGGCATACCACTATAGTTGCAGCTACAGTACACAAATACTATTAACTATTAGCTTTATCCACCTGGAGAATAGTCTCTAATGCAGATTGTCTCCGCATTCTGGCCACGATCCCAACTTATTCATGTTTTTTTTTTGTTTTTTTTTTTTAAAGACAGAGTCTCGCTCTGTTGCCCAGGCTGGAGTGTAGTGGTGCAATCTAGGCTCGCTGCAACCTCCGCCTCCCAGTTATTCATGTTTTTATTCAGATGGTTGGATGAGAAACGTGGAAGGGACACCTGTCAAATGTGTGCAAATCTGGAACAGGCAGAATCCTAACAGAGATGAGAATCAAGGAGGAAGACACATTCAACACACTGAAAAGCTGAGTACAAAATAAGATTATAATGCAATAAAAGTAAAGTACTGCCTTAAGATTTAAAAAAAAAAGGAAAGAAAAGAACTGTATAGGTACTTGAAGGACAAGACCTGGCTTGGCAGTATTTGTGATAAAGATCCCATGATTTTAGTTAATCAAGAGTGGAGGGTGGGCATGGTGGCTAAACAACTATAATCCCAACACTTCAGGAGGCCAAGGATGGAGGATTACTTGAGGCCAGGAGTTCAAGACCAACCTCGGCATCATAGTGAGACCCTATATCTACAAAACATAACTTTTTTTTTTTTTTTGGAGACAAAGTCTTGCTTTTTCGCCCAGGCTAGAGTGCAGTGGTGCAATCTCAGCTCACCGCAAGCTTTGCCGCCTGGGTTCAAGCAATTCTCCTGCCTCAGCCTCCCGAGTAGCTGGGATTACAGGCACCTGCCACCATGCCTGGCTAATTTTTTTGTAGTTTTTAGTAAAGACAGGGTTTCATCATCTTGGCCAGGCTGGTCTTGAACTCCTGACCTCGTGATCCACCCGCCTCAGCATCCCAAAGTGCTGGGATTACAGGTGTGAGCCACAGTGCCCGGCCCTACAAAAAATAACTTTAAAAAACTAGCCAGGCATGGTGGTACATACCCATAGTCCTAGTTACTCAGGAGGCTGAAGTGAGAGGCTCGCTTGAGCCCAGGAGTTCAAGGTTACAGTGAGCTGTGATCATGCCACTGCACTCCAGCCTGGGTGACAGAGTGAGACCCTGTCTCTAACAACAAAAAAACAAAACAAAAGTGGAATGAATTGACAGTACAGCATGACTGTCAGAAAGCTTACGTAGTGTCAGGTTACTTTCTTAGTAATATAGTGTCTAATGCTGGTGGTGAAATCCTTTCTGAAGAGCAAACTAATGTCTCCAAAGCTGGCTGGCAAACATTCTTCCCTTCCTTGGACATGTATGTCTTTTCTCCCAGCTAGAAGTAGAGTCTGTTTCCCTTCTCCTTGAATCTGGGCTGGTCTTGTGACTTGTTTTTATCAACACAATGCAGCAGAAGTTACCCTGCCAGTTCCAGGCCTACCTAGACCTGTGGGGCCCGGTAGCCTCTTTTTTTATTTTTTAAATTATTTATCTTTTTTTCTTCCTGACAATAAACTTAGGAAGCTCAGTAGCTTCTGCTTTTGTTCTCTTGGAAGCCTGCAGCCACGCTACAAAGAAGTTGTGGTGAGACGACTAAGTGAGGATGGACTATGAGAGATGTGGGGGAAGCAGTGAGGTGCCCCAACCGAGCTTCCTGCGGAATGCAGCCCAGGAGTGACCCCAGCCTTGAAATCAATGGACTTAAGCACCACTGTCTCTGCAGAGCCCTGCCCAGATTGCAGAATTGTGAAAAGATAGTTGTAAACACAGCAGTAGAACACGGAGACATGAGGAAGATACTAGAGAGGACAACCGAAACGGGGTGGTCTAGAGATCATGCCTGTGGAAGATTGTCCAAGGAATGGGTTTTGTTAGCTCTATGGGCAATAAGAGAAGATAATGTTTGTTTGTTTGTTTATTTATTTATTTTGAGACGGAGTTTTGCTCTGTGGTACTCTTATTTTTTGTAATGAGCTCACTGCTCATTATATCCAGCATGTTGCCAAGTCAGAATCATTTCATGTTCACCTTTCAGTAACCCACATTCTGTTTATCCAACTGTAGACTAGCTTAGGCCTTGGTCCTACCTCATCCCTGAATTACTGCTATTACTCCTTCTCGGGGCTTACTCTTCCTACTCCCCACTTCAAGTACTTGTTTTGTTCATGTCAGCCCATCTCAAGAAGTGCCTATGGAGAACATTTGGGAGCTGGGCCAAAGCAGCATTTCCACAGAACAAGCATCTGGACGAACTGTCTTCCCTATTTCCTTTGCAGCCTTAGACCTGAAGAGGTTTGTTTTTGGCTTTCGGCTAACCAAAAAATCTCAAAGCATCTGGCTATACTCTGTGAGGTTATCTGTATGTTTGGGTGACAGAGCTCCTACATGAATAAGGTGAACGCACCCTCATTTTCTTCCTTTAGAATTTAGATTTGACCTTTATAACATATGCAGTGTGCATGAGCACACATAAAAACTTAACGTTTGATAACAAAAAGTCTTTTTTTTTTTTTTGGAGATGGAGTCTCGCTCTGTCACCCAGACTGGAGTGCAGTGGCGTGATCTCGGCTCACTGCAACCTCTGCCTCCCAGGTTCCAGTGATTCTCCTGCTTCAGCCTCCCAAATAGCTGGGACTACAGGTGTGTGCCACCATGCCCGGCTAATTTTTGTATTTTCTAGTAGAGATGGGGTTTCATCATATCGGCCAGTCTGGTCTCGAACTCCTTACCTCGTGATCCGCCCACCTCAGCCTCCCAAACTACTGGGATTATAGGCGTGAGCCACCATGCCCAGCCTTTGAATAGTCCTTTTTATAAAAGCAATCATGAGTTTCCTATAGCTCCTTTAAAAAAAAAATCTCTGTGTTTTCTGTTCACTACACTAGGATTCAAGTACAACAGCCCCTTGCTTACCGCTTCTACTTCCTTTAGCACTCTGTGCTTAAGACTAAGGTCCTCAAACACAGCTTCAATCACCATGTCGGCCTTTTCAAAACCTTGGTAATCAAGCTGCCCAGTCAAGTTGCTGAAGATGGAATCCCTTTCAAATGATGTTAGAGCTTTCTTCTTCACTTTGTCATTCAATCTAGAAAAAACACATTCCTAGTTAGATGGGAAGAAAAGGAAACTAACGTTTATTGAATGTCCATGGGCCAGAGCACACCTGTGTTTTTCACCAACTCTGTGAGGTAGTTATTCTATTACTCCCATTTTGAGGGAGACTTTCAAGTTGTTTAGTCTTAGAGGGACCTGTGGTCAAATAGCTTGATAAGGGAGGGTGCTAGCATTCAAAGACATGTTAACTCCCAAGTACACATTCTTTCTACCATAGAATGCCTCCAAATGCCCAATTTACGTAAACTAAATCACTCTTAAACCAGTTAAATTTGCCAAGAGGAGTAAATAACATGAATACTAGAATGGCAAAACAAAAGAGGAGTTCTGGTAATTCTCTACCTATGACAGGGGAAGCAGCCAAAGTGTGTCTGAGACCACATGGTTTATATTTGCTTATCGCAAATATATAATTTTATGTTATTCTGTAGTTGTAATCTTTTTTTTTTTTTATTTATTTTTTGAGACGGAGTCTCGCTCTGTTGCCCAGGCTGGAGTGCAGTGGCGTGATCTCAGCTCACTGCAACCTCTTGTCTCCTGGGTTCAAGCAATTCTCTGCCTCAGCCTCCTGAGTAGCTGGGATTACAGGCGCCCACCACCACGCCTGGCTAATTTTTTTTTTTTTTTTTTTAGTAGAGATGGGGTTTCACCATCTTGGCCAGGCTGGTCTTGAACTCCTGACCTCGTGTTCCATCCGCCTCAGCCTCCCAAAGTGTTGGGATTATAGGCGTGAGCCACCGCGCCCAGCCTGTGGTTGTAATCTTCTAAAGAACAGAGACCAAGCATTATTTCCTATATTCTCCATCTACTTCCCACTCATTACCTAGTAGCACATTGCACTGATTACATAAAATATTAACTCAAGGTTTCTTTTTTCCCATAGGGAGCAGAAAAGGATTCCTGTTATTCAGACATTCAACTGATTATTTTTCGTCGCCAAGGGAAACAGGTTCTCTTAGATTCCGTCTGACCACACTTTCAGAATAAATTACCTACAGTTTTCCTCTAAATGAAGAATGAAGCTAAACCCCATTCACTAATTTCCTTAACCAAAAGCAAAATTAAGGCCACAAGATAAATACAAAGGAGTATTCAAAGAAGGTCTTAAGGGCTGGGCATGGTGGCTCACATCTGTAATCCCAGCACTTTGGGAGGCTGCAGCAGGCGGATCACTTGAGGCCAGGAGTTCAAGACAAGCCTAACCAACATGGTGAAATCCCGTCTCTATAAGAAAAACAAAAATCAGCTGTGCATGGTGGCGCATGCCTGTAGTCTCAGCTATTCGTGAGGCTGAGGCATGAGAATCGCTTGAACCCGGGAGGCAGAGGTTGCAGTGAGCCAAGATTGCACCATTGTGCTCTAGCCTCGGTAATAGAGTGAGACTGTCTCAAAAGAAACAAAAACATCAAATAAGGTCTTAAAAGTATGGGCTCAAAGCTTTTGTTTTTGACAATCATGACAGCAGTCAGCAAACAAGATACTTGTCAGCATTCAAAACATTATCAGTTGCTCTAATTCTAATGCCTGATTAAACTATTCCCAAGAGAGGACAGGAACTATTGTCCCAAGTCAGCAGTGTGGTGAGCGGCACTCGCCAGAACCTGATGTTTCTAAGACGAAAAGGGGAACCCAGGACACTATTCAAGAGAGACTGGGGGAGGAAACTATTTTAGAGCAACAATTTCTTACTTTGGTGATGGTATGGAATGCTGTTTGGGATGCTTGCATGCTAGTTTCAGGGCACTGCTGCTATCTAGCACACATCATTTTTTTGGTCAGAATCTTCTACTACAACTTGTTATCTTACAATAATCTGCCAACACGATGAAACCTGCCAGGTCCTGGTTAGCATTATGGCAGCAATATGTGAGCTTCTCTGCAGAAAAGGGATAACAACATGCTTAAGCTATCTAATCCATTTAAGAAACAAAAAAGCTCACTCAGCTAAAAGTCACATGCAGGATGCTTTAAGTGCAGCCAGCTTGTCCATTAAATGTGAGCAGAAAACTGATCAAACCAACCCTCCATTTGGCCAAGCTGCTGCTCCACCTTCCCCTCTGCAAAACAGGCAGCATGTGTGTGATGGTGAGAGAGGCAGGTGGTGAGGAAGGGGAATAATATTCCCCCTTTATTAATTCAGAGGTAAGATGGAGATAGTCTGTAAAGCCCCAGACACTGTGGAGGGATCAGTTCATGGCTTCTCTCTGTAATGCCAGTCAGGAAATAAAAGTCTGAAGAGTCCTGATCCCGGCCCTGCCTTCCCCCTGCAGTTACTGCCCATTTCCTTACATCCTAACCTCACTCAGTCTTCTCAACAGAGACAGTCATGCTGTTTGAATAATCCTTAACAATAGAGCAATTACCTGCAAACTATATCAAAATCCGCAGGCCTGATACGAAAGTGTAAAATGGCATTAACAAGTATCTACTAGATAAGATTTTCCCTTCTGCATTCAAAGACTACAGACTCCAAGGATGTTAATTGTCTATGATATCTATAACAAAACGAAGTCAAAGAAGGAATTGGCATTTCTAAAAATCAAAAGAAACTTGGCTTCACTACGGAGTATCTAGAACTCATTATGTTCAGGAAAAAGGAATCCGTGATGGCAAGAACAAACAAACAAAAAAACCCACCAAGCCACCACAAAAAACAACTAACCAAGAAACAAAGGACATTCTAACTCTTGCAAAGAGAGAGAGCAGGCTTACCCTTTGAACACTTGTTGCTGTCCTCGGTCTAGCGCAGTGAGGGTGGCATCTTTAAGTATAGTCTTTAGCCCCTTATCCACGGAGACTTGGGCGATGCCTGCTCCCATCAGCCCTGCACCAAGAATAGCCAGATGCCTGCAAGGCAAGGATGAAATGACTTTCGGTAAACTGATCTTAATCATTTCAGTCAAAGTGGAAGATTGCCTAAGTTATTCAATAAACCAACTAATGCAGGCACAACTATAAGGTGTTTCAAATAATTTTTATTTATTAAAAACACAGCTTTAATAAATGATTGATCTTAAAAGTTAAGTGCAAAAACCCACCAGGTCTAAAAGAACTGGTCTACCCAAGAAGACAGAATTATACTAATCTTCAATCATGCTTCGAAATCACTGAAATCAAAACAACCAGTTTACATTTAAGTCAACATGAGTATTTTTGTTTTTCGAACAAAAAGACCAACCTCTTTTCTTATTGAACAACTTATTTGTTAGTGATTTTGACTATCTGCCAGTCATCTTTCTTTCTTTTTTTGAGAGACATGGTTTTGCTCCCTTACCCAGGCTGGAGTGCAGTGGTGCAATCCTAGGTTTACTGCAGCCTTGAACTCCTGGGTACAAGTGATCCTTCTGCCTCAGTCTCCTGAGTAGCTCGGACTAAAGGTGCATATCACCACTCCTGGCTAATTTTTAAGTTTTTTTGTAGATAGGGTCTCACTATGATGCCCAGGCTGGTCTCGAACTCCTGGCCTGGCCTCAAATGATCCTCCCACATCAGCCTCCCAAAGAGATGGGATTACAGGTGTGAGCCATCGTGTAATCTTTCATTTCCCCCAAAATCTGTGCCTTTATCACTCCTCGTCTGGATGAATTCAAAGTCTCCTCCATGGTCTCTTTGCTTCCAGACCTTATCCCTTCCTTAAACACTTCCACATATGCACATTGCTACCTTTTTTTGCCCCTGAATTCCTCTAGAACTTCTCAGGACGACTTGATTTACCCCAGAGTATCCTGGAATGGCTTCGTGTCCATTATTTGTCTCCTCAATTAAATTCTAAGCCTTTTGAGGACCAGAGATCATATCTGCTTATTCATTTTAGTTCCCTATAGTTCTGGAATAATTTGCCATATTCCCATAGTAAATAACTAAGAAAAATTTTTAAAGAATCTCTTCATAAAAGAAGCCCAAGTTTACAGCACTGTTATCCAAATTAGAGTTGAAATGAGGGATAAAGTTTCATTCTTAACCATTCTGATTGTAATGTTCAAAAATCATACTAAAGTCCTGAAAAGGAAATCTAACTTCAAGTCCTAGGAGCATCTTCTAAATGCAGCTTTGTAATGGTACAAATATTTATATGGTGAGTGATAAGTAATTGCAGGACAATGAGAAAATACAGTAGAGAAACAAAAAATAGGGACTGAAAAAAAAGACTGATACATTTGCTACATCAAAATTAAAAATTTCTGTTTTGGCTGGGCACAGTGGCTTACGCCTGTAATCCCAGCTCTTTCTTTGAGAGGCCAAGGCGGGCAGATCACAAGGTCAGGAGTTCAAGACCAACCTCACCAAAATACAAAAATAAAAAAATTAGCTGGGTTTGGTGGTGTGCACCTGTAATCCCAGCTACTCAAGAGGCTGAGGCAGGAAAATTGCTTCAACCTGGGAGGCGGAGGTTGCAGTGAGCTGATTGTGCCACTGCATTCCAGCCTAGGTGACAGAGTGAGACTCCATTTTTTTTAAAAAAAAAAATTCTGTTTGACAAATGAACCCACAAAATTAAGACAACCATAGAATGGGAAGAATTTGTGACATATACAGCAGACAAAGGATACTACTGGAAAAACAGAACATGCATATATCAATTTAAAAAGACAACGAAATAAAATGGGCAAGGGATATAAAGCAATTCATAAAAGAACAAAACAAATTGTCAGTAAAGATGCTCAATTTCAGCCAGGCACGGTAGCTCATGCCTGTAATCCTAACACTTTGGGAGGCCTAGGAGGGAGGATCGCTTGAGCTCAGGAGTTTGAAACCAGCCTGGGCAACACAGTGAGACCTCATCTCTATTATGAAAATAATAATAATAATAAAAAGATGTTCAATTTCCCTAATAACTGGGGCAATGCAAATTAAAATGAGATGCATCAGACTGGCAATTTTTTTTTTTTTTTTTTTAAGATGGAGTTTCACTCTTGCCGCCCAGGGTGGAGTACAACGGTGCGATCTCAGCTCATTGCAACCTCTGCCTCCCAGGTTCAAACGATCCTCCTGTCTCAGACTCCCGAGGAGCTGGGATTACAGGTGCCCACCACCACACCCAGCTAATTTTTGTATTTTTAGTAGAGATGGGGTTTCACCATGTTGGCCAGGCTGGTCTCGAACTCCTGACCTCAGGTGATCCACGCACCTCGGAATCCCAAAGTGCTGGGATTACAGGCGTAAGCCACCACACCTGGCCAAAAATTTTAAAGTATCAGTTAGGATGTACAAAAAATTAGTTCATGCATGGTTCACGGAAGTATACTTTGTCCTACTTTTGGGGGGGTTCTTTGGTTTTGTTAAAACCAAGAACTGCATACTGTATAACATAGTAATTCTACTCGTCATTATCTACTTTACAGAGATGGACTTATACACAAGATGACATGCTGTGATGAACAGCTATATAATAATGTTTGTAATGAAAAATTGTAACAGCCAGTAATTCGTCAACAGGGGATTAAAAGGAAGGAGTTACCTGATATGTACTAATCTACATCTCCAAGTCATATCACTGAGTAAAAAGTGCAAGCTACAGGATCCATACAGAAGGATTCCTTTTATGTTAAAACATACCATAAGTATAGGCCAGGCATGGTGGCACATGCCTATAATCGTAGTGCTTTGGGAGGATGAGGCAGGAGGACTGCTTGAGGCCAGAATTTTGAGATCAGCCTGGGCAACTTAGCAAGAACTCATCTCTACAAAATATTTGAAAATGAGCCGGGTGTGGTGGTATGTGCCTGTAGTCTCAGCTACTCAGGAGACAGAGGTGGGAAGACTGCTTGAGCCCAGGAGTTTAAGGTTATGGTGAGCTGTGATTATGCCATCGCACTCCAGCCGGGGTGACAGAATGAGACCCTGTCTCTAAAAAAACAAACCCACCCCTTTCCCCTAACAAAAAAAATCCCATAAACACAAAAGAGTATCTTATAATCTTATTTATGATAATTTTTTTGAAAGGAGAAAAAGAATGCATTATTTAGTAGGTTTTTTTTTTTTTTTTTGGTGGGAGGGCATTTGCTGGAATGTTAACTTTAGCTGTTAATAACAATAATAGTAAAATCTAAAACTGTGTTTAAAGCTTTTTTGGTATAACAGAATCCACAGCTAAAATATTACTCATTTCTTAACTGTTATGCTCCGCTTCATTAACACCAAAATTTTCATGATGGCTTTATAGTTGTTTAATATTTGTCTACAACAATGTAGAGTTAAATTAACACACTTCACAATCTACGGAATCCTTCTAATAAACATCTTCAGCACCCTTGAAATGACCCACTTGTGTAATTACCCAGCAGGCTAACATCTATGGTGCACGATGCTTTATAAGCCAACTGCTGGGTGACATGAACTTTTGAGGGTTGATTACACAGAAATGTTGTGATTTGAGGAATGCATAACATGGTACCTTGTCTGTATACTAATTTGTAGCTCAGTATTTTTTTTCATAAGTACTGCTCTTCACTTATTAGAACTGATGGAATGCGTTATTCATATGAAAGATTAATTTGTAAAGAGACAATAGATAAGGAATTCCAGTTATCATCCAAGGCAAGGGGGAAGGGGCCTAGAGAAATAATAGTGGAAGAATTACTGATAACTGGGAAAGCAGGAAGGGGGACACCCTATCTACAATGTTCATTATTCAATTTTCAGTTTAACATATTTTGCCTTGGGTATCTTATAGCTTATTCTTCATTTCTAAGATGATGCTAACTTTTTCTTCAATGTCTTTCCCAAGTTAGGTCAACTCCTATATTTATCCTGTTTTTCTGCCCATTTAGTTCTGAGTTTTTGAATTTTTGATTCAAGGCAGTTTTTTTTCTGATTTGCAAATGCTGATTTAAGAATATTTAAATCAAGTTCTGTTATAGTCTTCTTCTGCATTGTGGTTGTTTTTTGGGGGACAGAATTTTCATAAACTTCAGTATTCTGATTCTCATTTTCTCTTTTTTTCTTATATTAGCTTTTTGTGGGTGCTGTCTTTCTTTTTTGCATACTGACTACACAATACCACCTTTTCCAAGGGGTATTTTATTGTTACATGGAGATGTATACTACCTCCATACGACAATAAATGCTCAGGCAGGAGGAGTCTGGAGTTAATAAATTAAGACACTAGGTTTTTTAATTTAAGAGTACCCTCTTCTGTTGCAAAGTGCAGTTTCTTTAATTGACAGCATTCTTTGTGTACATGGAGGGATACGGTGGGGAGGGGTAGAAGTTGGTGTATCTAGGTTTTGTAATTTTGCAGGATGCTTCTCTGCCTTCTATTTATGCCGTGCACAGGGAATGGGTGGCTTTGTTTTCCTTATTAATCTGTTGATTTTTGTAGAATGTGTAAAGAGATACAGGTTTAAGTGGCCATAATTTTCCTCCTGCAACATGGAAGTAATTTACCCTGCTCATCGAATGCAAGGTACTATCAAGGTTAGGTGGAACAAATGCAATTGGCTCTTCAGATGGGATTGATAGCAGTCACTAAATGTTTGAGAGAAGCAGTTAAGGTTGTATTTCAGATTCTAATTGGAAATCAGCCCTCTTGGTTAGAATCTTACCTGTTTCACCCGGACTTCTTATCCATTTTATTTTGTATTTTGTATTTGTAATCTCATTAAAGGTGAGAGGATGGAGAAGGCAGTATCATTAGCTGCTTCTCTTAAATCCCCCACAGCAGTTCAGCTAGAACAGCTGAACCTCAGGACTACTGACATTTCGAACTGGATATTTCTTTATGGTGGGGACTATCTGTGCATTATAGGATGGTTAGCAGCATCCCTGGCCTCCACCCACAGATGCCAGTAGCATCCCTCCCTCCCTAGTTGTGACAACCAAAAATGTTCCCAGGCATTGTCAAATGTCCCCCTGGGAGGCAAAATTGTCCACGCTGAGAACCACAGAGCTACAAGTTGCATCATTAAACATAGACTCTGAAGAGCTATTAGGCAGCGTAATATGGAAAAAGGCTGGCTTATGGCAATACACATGAAAGAGGCAAACAGACTTTCCAATACTTAGGTTGTAAGCTAAAAGAAGGACAAGATTTTAACAATTACAATGAGGTTTTATGTTTTTTAATGAGGAAGAAGTGTGAGTTCCCAGAGATGACATCTCAAATCACAGGGAGAGAGATGATCATTGAACAGTGCAGAGGGAGTGTGTGGTTTGGGAAGGGGGACCTAAACCAGACTTCTAGGCAACATCAATATGTGACAAGAAAGCCTCTATAGGAATGACCAGAGGGGTTTGGAAAAAACTCAGAACAGGCAGAACTTTGAAAGCCAAAAAGTTTTTAGTAGACATAAGGGCTCAAATGTGCTCAGGAAAGAAGTTGAGGGCAAGACTGAATTAAGATACAGATCTAGCTCTGTAGATCTTCAAAGCCTCTGTGAACTTTGCACACAGTAAAATTCACAAGGGCTTCCTACGTAGAGTTTAACTTACTTAACATCCTTCTGTGGAGCTCCAAATTTATTCTTCTTGCACAGGACCTGACCATGGTAGAGTCCCATCAAGGCCTTTGATTCTTTGGTCATTACAAGCTCTCCAAATTTCTGAAAAGTAAAGGGGAATGAGAAAAGGTAGAACTTCACAGTCTAGGTTATATGGATTCCTTCAGTTCAGGTTCCTCTGAAGAGCAGAGGTAATGCATGTGAAGCCTGAGTCCCTGGGGATGCGGGGGAGTTTGGGGGTTCAGTGCTGCAGAAGTCTGTCTCTCACTGATGTGTCTTGTCTTTACTTGTCTTATCTGGAGCACTTTCCAACTACTGTGTTGAAGAAAGTTTTGGATATAACTAAGCTCTCAGATTCTTTACACCAGAGGTGTGGTAACCTTTTTCATAAAACTAGAGTCTCAGGGCCAAAATGAGCCTCCACAATCATCTCAAACCAACCCTCTCATTTTACAGATTGGGAAGAGGAGGTCCAAAGAAATGGAGTGACTTTGCTCAAGGCTATACTGCCTCAAAGTGGCAGAAATGGAACTTGAACCAAGACAGTATGACTCTGAACTCCAGTTCTTTTTTTTTGAGATGGAGTCTCGCACTGTCACCCAGGCTGGAGTGCAGTGGCACGATCTCGGCTCACTGCAAGCTCCGCCTCCCAGGTTCACGCCATTCTCCTGCCTCAGCCTCCTGAGTAGCTGCGCTACAGGTGCCCACCACCACGCCTGGCTAATTTTTTGTATCTGTAGTAGAGATGGGGTTTCACCGTGTTAGCCAGGATGGTCTCGATCTCCTGACCTCGTGATCTGCCCGCCTTGGCCTTCCAAAGTGCTGGGATTACAGGCGTGAGCCACCGTGCCTCGCCTCGAACTCCGGTTCTTTTTCCACTGTAGCAGGCTGCCCACGTGGGACTTACCACTTTTAAAAGTAGCTTAATTTATGGAGAAAAAGTCTCAACTTGGTGGTTAAAGGCATAATATCTAGGATTTGACAGATCCTGTCTCTGCCACTGCCCCATTGTGAAGCTTTCTTCATCCTTAAAAATGGGAAAAACAATACCCATTTTACAGTATTGTTCTGGGGGATTAAATGAGAACACTAGTAAAATGACCAGGGTCTCAAGGTTAGCTATTATTAATATCACTAGGATATAATGGTAAGATTGCATGGTTACAAAGAGCATTTCAAAAGAATCCCTCTAATAAAGTTGCTTTCATGACCCAAAAGAACATAAAATGACAACACAATCAATGCTTTACTAATCTTGATACAGGATGTTTTATCTAATAAACCAGTGATTTTCAAACATGGGCAAAAGATTCATCAATGGTCAGAAATTTAGTGGGTGCCAATAAGCATTACATATATAAAAAGCGGAATACACAGAAAATACTGAGCACAATGCACACAGGACAGTTACTGATTCGTGAAACTTATTCCTCAATTTTTCTGTACGTATGTTTATGTGCACTTGGTTATATTTTTAAAAAATCAGAAATGCCCAATGAGACATCTAGTACCAGAAGTGTTTTTCTGGTACTTGTCCTGAGCTCTTCAGATTTTTTTTTTTGTCCTTTTACAGGTTGAGCATCCCTAATCTGAAAATCCAAAATCCAAAATGCTCCAAAATCCAACTTTTTGAGTGCCAACATGATGTCATGGGCAAGATATTACACATGTTATGAGCTGCAGTCAAAACTGTTTTATGTGAAAAATTATTAAAAATAATGTATGATATTACCATCAGGCTATGTGTATAAGGTGTATATGAAATTAATTTCATGTTTAGACTCTGATCCCATTCCCAAGATCTCTCATCATATATATGCAAATATTCCACTATCTGACAAAGTCTGAAATCTGAAATGTTTCTAGTCCCAAACATTTTGGATAAGAGATATTCAACTTTATAAAAGAGCAACCATTCTTCGATGATCGTTTAAAACTTAAAAACAAACACAAATCACTTAAATCTGCAACATCACCAAGTTGCTAGAAAAGTACACAGGTAAAGCTGGTACATACATCTCTTCTGTCTTCGTCTTTTAGTGGGTACAAGATACTTCCTTTCCTTTTCCAATTTACCAAAAAATTCAATTTCATCATCTCTAGGCCTTAACATGTAAGAAAAATATTTTTCTGTCTTTGTATTCATTTTGTCTCAATAAAACCTGCCCAAGTGCGGAACAAAAAACACCCAAGTGACTTGTTTTGAAAGGATTAGAACTCTGTTCCTGCCCTTCGTAGAGACAACCTTATTACTAAAAGTAAGTTCAAACATCTGCAGACCATAGGGTTTTTTCTTTTTTTTCTTTTTTTTTGGAGACAGGGTCTCACTTTGTCACCCAGGCTGGAATGCAGTGGTGCGATCTTACTTAGCTCACTGCAGCCCTGACCTCCTGGACTCAAACAATTCTCCTGCCTCAGCCCTGCAAGTAGCTGGGACTGTGGGTGCATGCCACCATGCCTGGCTAACTTTTGTAGTTTTTGTAAAGATGGGGTTTTGCCATGTTGCACATGCTGGTCTTGAACTCCTGAGCTCAAACGATCTGCCCACCTCGGCCTCCCAGAATGTTGGGATTACAGGGGTAAACCACCACGCCTGGCCCCATTAGGGTATTCTTAGCATCCACTTGCTCACTGAGATTAATCATAAGAGATGATAAGCACTGGAAGAAAAAAATTTTTACTAGGCTTTGGATATTTTTTTCCTTTTTCAGCTTTATACAGAGGATTGGATCTTTAGTTTTCCTTTAACTGATAATAAAACATTGAAAGGAAATAAGTTTACCTGAGATTCACAGAGATAACCGGCATCACTCCCTTGCTCAATTCCAGTCTTTACCACCTAAAAAACATATAAAGCACTTGCTCAGCGTTGGAATAGATTGGCGAGATGTACAATAATGCTGAATAAAATTGCCAGTGTTGTTAGTCCTCAAAGAGTAAGTCAAAAGTCTAGACTGGAATGAGAAAGAGAAGAGGACTGAGGATCTGGCTGCTCTCGACTGACTTAATTCTCCATCTTTGAGGCTACTGCTAAATCTAGCATAACATGGCCATGAGAAGGAAAGACAAAGCTTGAATTACTCTTCCGGCTTCTCTCCTGATCTTCAAATGTAGGCAGATCCTCAACTTCCACTTTCAGCCCTTTTCACTCTCTACACTTTCTCCCTCAGATGCATGACCTAGTTTATCACATTAATGAACTCTACAAAATTCAATGTAACATTTGGGGTAAGTACTATCCTAAGTACAATGGCAAATATAAAAGATGAAAAAAATAACCCTGTACTTACTCACTATCATAATTTATGAGAATGACAAATTTTTAGAAATAAGCAAATTGACATCTCTAACTCTGACTTCTCTGTCTAAACTACTGTTGCTTGAATTTCCCAAAATATCTGAACTCAATATATCTGAACCTAACTCATAACCTCTCTTTGGCAAGCCTGTTGCTGCTTTCCTATTTTTACTATTCTATCTCAGGGCCTTATTCAAAGCTCAAGCCTGGATTATCAGGACAGTTTTGCTAATTCACTGCTCTACTTTGTCTCTCCTTCGAAACCATTTTTACCCACTACCATGAAAATGGCTCTCTAGAATCTTTATCGGACAAAGGTAAAATTTCTCAATTCATTATTACCAACCTTCTAAAATCCAGCTTCAATCTGCCTTTCTTCAGACTAACATCTCATTATCCCCCACAAATACTGGTCTCACTAATGTTCCTTGAAGAGCTTGTTTTCCAGCTTCCATAACTTTGCTCTAAATGCCCACCCTCCTTGGCAATACTTTCCCTCCTTCACCTATCCTCCACCCAGCTTTCAGGGTTGGGGTCAGATCCCATGAGGCACTTACTGATCTCTTTGTCTCATGGTAATTGTTGCCTCCTCTGTCCCACTCATCTGGCATTAATCTTATGCTGCCTTATATCTCTTAAAGGCTATCCACCTTAACACATATATATATCTAACTTCCCCAGTCCAGCCTGTGAGACGAAGGCAGGTGGGGGCATGTTTCATATTTTATGTGCTTTGGTGCCTTCTACTCAAGATATACTTGCTGACTGACCCATTCACCAATTCTGAAGTCTTTGGTTATATACTCTCTTAATCTTGGACTTTCCACACTGAAAAGTTCTAAGTTTTAAAGTCTACTGTTGGAGATTTCTTGAATCCTGTGATCATTTTAATTATTCTCATTGATCTTTTGCAGAGCTTCTCTACATCATTACATCTTTTTTATAATTACAGCAATGAAGAAGTCCTTGAGGGATTTTAGGTACTGACAATGATGTTGACCAAGAATAGAACAGAGCCATCAATTTTGTTTCAACTACTTTTTGGTTAGTGCCTGACACTCTAATGGCTTTGTGATACTGATATGACTTAGGTTCCTTTCCTGGTTTTCTGGTTTGTTACTGATACATTTAACTGCATCAATCAATGAGTAAGTCCAGCACTGATTTTCCCCAAATATATCACTTTATATGAGTCCTTACAGCTTGCTATGCCCTTCCCTTATTTTTGGTAAATACTTTAATAGCAGAATTAAGAAATTTAGTACTCAACATACATGGTCCAGAATGGCAATAAGGAGGAGTGATCTATATAAAGGAAGGAAATATGAGAAAAGTGGGAATATTGGGTAAGACTCACATCAATTATTTTCAGAGGTGCAGGATAAAGGCCTTTAGTCTGCTTTCGCACTTTTTCTTCCACTTTTTTGTAAACCTGTTGCCTGACAAATGGAATAGTCATGGCATACGCTGTCAATTCTGTAAAATAAAATGCTTTTAGATATTTACTATAAAGAGCCTAGATTCCCTTGTTAGTTTATGCTCTAAACTCTATAAAAATGAAGTAATTCTAGCTATCTGCAAGAACTGCTCTTTATTCTGATACACACAATATAAATTTCAACCTAAGCACTACCTTAAACATGCTAAGTGATGAATGTTAAAGCTGGGCCTTGGGTACATGAGTGTTTATAACACTGTTATCTAGTCTTTTTGTGTTCATGCTTAACATTTTCTAAAATGAAAAGTTTTCTATGACTCAAGGGTCATCATAAGGAAAAAAAAGGTTTTAAAAATTGGCTTTAACTGGATAGTGTAAAGTTGAGGAGTTGTTACATCTCCTACCTAAGGCTGACTTTATGCTTTGAGTAAATAATGCATTTACCACTTCCTCATTTTGAATCTACAGCAAATAAAATTAAATTCTCAGGAAAGAAGCTTTGCCTTTGTTCTTTAACAATGATACTCACTTTCCACCAATCCCTTGTCTCTCTTTGGAGAGATCTTCTTATCAGCTAGTCCTTTGGCAAAAGTAATTGCAACTTCTTCTAGGTATTCTATTGTCCGTTCCTCTGGAGGTTTTAGTCCTGGTCCTATAAAAATGAATGCAACACTGGAATGCAAATCAGGCTTAGACCAGTCCCAGGTAGTGAAAAACCCAGACTTGCCAAAGCCAAAGGCCCTAGCACAGCGTTCCATTTCAGACTGGAGACTGGTAGGTGGCAAAGTCATAAACCAAGAAGTCAAAGAAGGGAAATCACAATGAATAGAGGAGAAACAATATGCTCTAGGTAGAAAACGCGGTCTTTAACTGTTTCATTTGGTTTCCACTTCTGAGTAGAATGTAGTATGTAACACACACAAAAGGAATGCATTATGTCTACTGCAACCTGCATTCTTGCTGCAAAACTGGAAAGAAAAAAGAAGAAATCATGAAATCATTTGTAAAGACACTGGGGAGCTATGGAAGTAACAAGGACAACATGAACTAAAATTCTAGAGAGCAAGAGCCTATCTTAGCTGAACTGATGATTGCTGATCATTTTCTTTTCAGGGATGTGTAATGCTTTTGGGCATGGACTGAAGACTGGACTTGACTCAAGCAGAAGGAAAGTGAAACCATCAGAGTTTTTGGTGGTCATGTACAACAGATTAGAAGCTAGAAGAAACCAAGTGCAAAGCCAGTTTTCCCCAAGGAACATTTGTGAAAGTCTAAGATGGTACACAAGGAGGAAGGGGCTAGCTCAGAGAGGTTGAGTGAAATCTCTCATAGTATCATGATGTTTAATAGATAAGGTACTTCTATGGAGAAGGGGGCCTGAAACCAATATGCAACTGATTTTCCACGCAAGGCCTCTGCCAGATCTTGAACCTGCTTGGGGCAAGAGGTTACAGAGCTAGGCTCAAAAAATCTGAAGAACAAGTACAGTGGTTCATGCCTATAATCCCAGCACTTTGGAAGACTGACACAGGAGGATTGCTCAAGACCAGCCTGGGCAACATAGTGAGACCCCACCTCTATTTAAAAGGAATCCAAAGAACACAATTTATAGTGCTGTGAAAACAGACACCTACCAGGCTCTCAATCAAAAGTCTGTAAGAGCCACATTGGAGGAGGTGGCTGGGGTCAAAATGGCAATCTTGTGCAGTACTGTGGTACTTAGGAAACAAAATCCCAACTGAGGGAACCCATAGCAGACATACAACCAATCTCTCCCTTAAGACATTTGACCTATTTTTTTTTTTTTTTTTTTTTGAGATGGAGTCTCACTCTGTAACCTAGGCTGGAGTGCAGCAGTGTGATCTTGGCTCACTGCAACCTCTGCCTCCCAGTTTCAAGCGATTCTCCTGCCTCAGCCTCCCGAGTACCTGGGATTACAGGTGCATGCCACTGTGCCCAGCTAAATTTTCTATTTTTAGTAGAGATGGGGTTTCACCATGTTGGCCAAGCTGGTCTTGAATTCCTGACCTCAAATGATCTGCCCACCTCGGCCTCCCAAAGTGCTAGGATTACAGGTGTGAGCCACCGAGCCTGGACCATTTGGCCTATTTTGAACCTGTGTGGGGAAGGAGGAATAATAACTAAGCCCAAAACTTTGGAGTGACAAAAGTTCAGTGTCCAGAAAAGTCCTAACACAGTCATAATCCTGAGGGAGGCCAGGGCAGCTGGAATCTGTGACGTGAAATGCTGGAGAGCAGCTGCTGCACAACAGGAGAGCTCCAGAGCTCTAAAGAGCGGTCCTTGAAACTCTGGCCGAGTATTGTTCTGCATGTGCATGAGGGGAAACTATCTGCAGCTGAGGAAAGAACCACCATAAAAGGCATGAAATGAAGCAAGGAAAGAATGACCCATAGCCAGGAGACAGATCAATAAATAGACACAGATTCAGAAATGAAAAAAATGATAGAAGGAGCAGACGTGATGTTCAAGACTACTGTAAATTCATGCTGTATGTTACAGAAGGTAGAGGAAAACAGGACGATAATGAAGAGAAACTGAAGATATAAAAGTGAATCAACCCCAGCTACTTAGGAGACTGAGGTGAGAGGATCACTTGAGCCCAGTAGCTCAAGGACCAGACTCGGCAAGACCCCGTCTGAAAAAAAAAAAGTGAATCACATGGGATTGGATTAACAGCAGGGATACACAGAAGAGGGAAACATCAGGAAACTTGAACACATGGCAGTAGAAATAACCAGAATGAAAGAAGACCTAAAACAAACAACCCAGAGCTTCATTTTTGGGCAATATCAAATGACCTAACAATGTGAAATTGGAATCTCCAAAAAGGGGAGGGAGACAGAAAAATATTTGAAGAAATAATAGCCAAAGAAGTCTCCAATTTTTACGAAAACTATAAGCCCATATGTCCAAGATGCTCAATGAATCCCAGACATAATAACTTTAAAAAAAATCCCAACAAACCAAGGCACATCATAATCAAATTGCTAAAACCAGTCATAAAAGGAAAATCTGAAAGCAGACAGAGGAAGGGAAAGGCACATCATATATAGAAGTATAAAGAAAAGAATGACAGCTGGGCACAGTGGCTCATGCCTGTAATTCCAGTGCTTTGGGAGGCTGAGGTGGGAGGATCACGTGAGCCCAGGGGTTTGAGACCAGTGTGGGCAACATGGTAAGACCTTGTCTCTACAAAAAGAATTTTTTTTTTAATTAGCTGGGCATGGTGGTGCATGACTGTAGTCCCAGCTACTCGAGAGGCTGACGTGGAAAGATTGCTTGAGCCCAGAAGTTCGGGGCTTCAGTGAGTTATGATCATACCACTGCACTTTAACCTGGGCAACAGAGCAAGACCCTGTCTCAAAAAGAAACAAACAAACAAAAAAGTGCCAAGATAAAAGTGACAACAGACTTTTCATCAGAAATTATGCAAGCCAAACACAATGGAGACATTTATAAAGTACCAAAAGAAAAACATTAGCCGGCCAGGTGTGGTGGCTCATGTAATCCCAGCACTTTGGGAGTCCGCGGTGGGCAGATCACTTGAGGTCAGGAGTTCAAGACCAGCCTGGCCAACATGGAGAAACTCTATTAAAAGTACAAAAATTAACCAGGTGTGGTAGTGGGTGACTGTAATTCCAGCTATCCAGGAGGCTGAGATAGGAGAATCATTTGAACCCGGGAGGTGGAAGTTTCAGTGAGCTGAGATTGTGCCACTGCACTCCAGCCTGGGCAAAAGGGTGAGACTCTGTCTCAAAAAAAAAAAGAGAGAGAAAAGAAACATTAGCAATCTAGGAAAAATATGTTTAAAAATGAAGTGGGAAATAGACTTTGTCAGACAAATCAAAAGGTAAGAACAGACCTACACTACAGAAAACACTAAAGGAAGTTCTTCAGGTTGCAAGAAAACCAAATCAGATGGGAATCTGGATCTACCTATACAAAGGATAAAAAGCACTAAAAATGGTAACTATGTGGGCAACTATAAAAAAGATCTTTTCTAATTTTTTATTCTCCTTAAGAGATAATTATCTAAAACAAATATACCAATATATACAAGAATTTATAATGTATGTAGCAGTAAAATGTATAACAACAATAGCAAAAATGGGGAGTATACAAAATAAATGCATACTCTTTTAAGGTTCTGACACCACAGGAAAATATTATCAATTGAAAACCGGCCAGGTGTGGTGGCTCACACCTGTAATCCAGCACTTTGGGAGGCCAAGGCAGGCAGATCACTTGAAGACAGGAGTTTGAGACCAGCCTGGCCAAGATAGTGAAACCCCATCTCTACTAATATACAAAAATTAGCTGGGTGTGGTGGTGTGCACCTGTAATCCCAGCTACTCAGGAGGCTGAGGCAAGAGAATTGATTGAACCTGGGAGGCAGAGATTGCAGTGAGTCAAGATCACACCATTGCACTCCAGCCTGGGCAACAGAGCAAGACTCCGTCTCAAAAAAAAAAAAAAAAAGAAAGAAAGAAAATAGACTGTGATGGGTTAAAAATGTATACTGTAAAACCCCAGAGCAACCATTAAAAGGGAAAAGCAAAGTAAAAGGCCAGTAATGAAGACAAAAAATATATATATTTTTTTGAGATGGAGTCTCGCTCTGTTGCCCAGGCTGGAGTGCAGTGGTGTGATCTCGGCTCACTGCAACCTCCACCTCCCAGGTTCTAGTGATTCTTCTGCCTCAGCCTCCCAAGTAGCTGGGATTACAGATGTGCCACCAGGCCAGGCTAATTTTTTGTATTTTTAGTAGAGATGGGGTTTCACCATGTTAGCCAGGACGGTCTCCATCTCCTGACCTCGTGATTTGTCCACCTCGGCCTCCCGAAGTGCTGGGATTACAGGCGTGAGCCACTGTGCCCGGCCAATAAAAAATTATTAATCCAAAAGAAAGCAGGAAGAAGAAAAAAGGAGCAAAGAACTGACAGGTCACCCTGGAAGGGTTAGAGGACGCACCCTTCACCACCACTGTGAGAAATCAATTTGTGAGGTGAGGCCCAGCATCTTTGCTCTGTGGTTGCTTCTCTTTGTAGGTCAGAAATTACAGTGGGAACTGCTACCATCAACTGGGATCCCTAAATGCAATGGGGATAAAGGAATCCCGGGGTGGCAGGGCCCAAGTAGCAGCACCATGCCAAATCAAGGTGGGCATAGTTACCATAATAAATAGTGGAGCCAAAGCAGTAATCAGAATAGTCTGACTTGCTGAGACCTATAGCATTGGGTGGTTGATCATGGTGTCCCTAAAAAAGAAATAGATGGGCAGTCTACTAACTCTTACTTGATCTGTATAAGCAGAAGAATTCTAGGTCTGGTAAACAGAAGTATAACTTGAATCACCTGAAGAGAGTCATGGCCCCTTAAGCAATTCCCAGAAATGAGCTAGTTTACAGACCCAGAATCTCCTTAATGAAAGGGAAGCTGTGTCCTCTTGAGGAGACTTTCCTGTTTATCTTTCTCCTACCCTTCCCCAAAGGGACCTATGGCTATTTGCCTTGCAGAAGGGGAAACAATGATTTTTTGGGGATTACTAGACACTGGCTTCTGAACTAACACTAATTCTAGGGGACCCAAACTTCGCTGTGGTCCAGCAGTCAGAGTAGGGGCTTATGAAGTCAAGTGATCAATGGAGTTTTAGCTCAGGTCTGTCTCAGTGGGCCTAGCAGGTCCCTGAGCCCATCCTGCGGTTATTTTCCCAGTTTCAGAATGTACAATTGGAGCAGACATACTCAGCAATGAGTAATATCACTATATGCTCTGACTTGTAGAGTAAGGGCTACTATGGTGGGAAAGGCCAAGTAAAAGCCACTAAAACTGCCTCTACCTAGAAAAGAGTAAACCAAAGCAACACCACAATCCTGGAGGGACTGCAGAGATTAGTGTCACCATCAAGGACTGAAAGCGGTAGGGGTGGTGATTCCCACTTCATTCTCATTCAACTTGCCTACTCTGGACAGTGCAGAAAACAGATGGATCCTATAGAATGACAGTGGATTACTGTACATCTAATCAGGTGGCAACTGCAATTCTAACTGGTGTTCCAGATGTCGTTTTATTGCTTGAACAAATTAACATACATCCTTGGACCTGGTATGCAGTGACTGATCTGACAAAAGCTTTTTTTTCTTGGTATCTGTTAGTAAAGACCACCAGAAGCAGTTTGCTTTCAGCAATATACCTTCAATGTCTTACCTTAGGGGTGGGTGTATTGTTTTCAACCATATATCATAATTTAGTCCACAGAGAGCCTGATTACCTTGTCCTTCCACAAGATATCATGCTGGTTCATTACACTGTGATATTATGCTGAATGGATCTGGTGAGCAAGAAGTATTAACTACTCTAGACATACTGGGGGTAAGACATGTGTCTGTCAGAAGGTGGGAAATAAATCCCTCCAAAATTCAGGGCCTCCCATGTTAGTGAAATTTCTGGGGATCCAGTGGTCTGGGGCATACAAAGACATCCCTTCTATGGCAAAGGGTAAGTGTTGCACGTGGCCCCTCCTACCACAAAAAAACACGGAGAACACCTGGTGGGCTGCTTCAGATTTTGGAGACAACATATTACTCATTTGGGTTGCTATTCCAGCCCATTTACTGAGTAACTAAAAAAGCTGCTAGTTTAAGTGGGACCCAGAACAAGAGAAGCTGTTCTGCCATTTGGGCCACGTGATTCAAACCTGATGGCGCCTGAAGTGTCGGCAGCAGACAGAGGTGCTGTCTGGAGTCTTTAATAGATCTCTATTAGGTGAATCACAACACAGACCCTTAGGATTTTAGAAAAAGCCCTACCATCCTCTGTGAATAACTACTCTCCTTTTGGGAAACAGTGTTTGGCTTGTTAGTGGGACTTCACAGAGACTCAAAGCTTAACCATGGGGCATCAAGTTACTGGTGACCTGAGCTGCTGATCATGAAACAGATGTTGTCTAACCTACTAAGCCATAAAGTGGGGTGTACACGGTAGCACTCCATTATCAAATGGAAGTGGTATATGTAAGACTGGGCTTAAACAGACCCTAAAGGCACAAGCTGCATGAGGAAGTAGCCAAAATACCCCACGGCCCTGTTCTTCTTTGTCTCTTCCAGCCTGCACCTATGGCCTCATGGGGAGTTCTCTATGGCCAGTTGATTGGTAAAGAAAAACTCAGGCCTGGTTTGTAGATATTTCTGTGTGATACGCAGGTACCACCTGGAAGTGCACAGCTGTAACACTACAGTCCCTTCTGGGACATCCCTTAAGGACAGTGGTGAAGGGATAGCCTCCCAGTGGGCAGTACTTCTGACAGTGCACCCGGTTGTTCATTTTGTCTAGAAAGAAAAATGGCCTGAGCTAAGGGTCTACTCTGATTCATAGGCCGTGGCAAACGGTTTGCCTGGGTGGTAAGGAACTTACAGGGAACACAGATGAAAAACTGTTGGCAAGGTGTTATGGGCTGAATTGTGTCCCCCCTACCTCATTCATATGTTGAAGTCCTATCCTCCAGTATCTCAGAATGTGACTGTAATTGGGGATAGGGCCTTTAAAGAAGCGATTAAGTTAAAATGAGGCCATTAGGGTGTACCCTAATCTAATCTGACTGGTATCCTTATGAGAAGAAAAAATTTGGAAACACAAAAGAGATGCCAGGGATGTGCAGACACAGTAAGAAAGCAGTGCCATCTGCAAGCCAAAGAGAGATGCCTCAGAAGAAACCAAACCTGCTAACACCTGATCTTAGACTTCCAGTTTCCAGAAATGCGAGAAAACATGTTAAGTTTCTGTTGTTTAAGCCACTCAGTCTGGTATTCGTTATGGCAGCCCTAGCAAACTAATATACAAGGACACCTGGGGAATAGGTCAGTGGATAGACCTCTCTGAATAGGCAAATAATGTGAAAACACTTGTGTCCCATTAAATGCTCATCAAAGAGTGACCTCAGCCGAGGATTTCAATGATCAAAGTGGATGGGATGACTCGTTCTATGGATAGCAGTCAGCATCTTTCCGCAGTCACTCTTATCACTGCTTCATGAACAGTGGCCATGATGGTGGGTGTGGAGGTTATGCATGGGCTTAGGCAATATGGACTTTCACTTACCAATTTGTGGTAAGTGGACTTATTTGTGGACTTATAGAGTACCTTATGGTATCCCACACCATTATGGTATCCCACAAAGCACTGCTTCTTATCAAGGAATTCACTTCTCAGTAAGTGAAGTGCAGCAATGGGCCATGCTCACGAAACACTGATCTTACTACATCACCGGGAAGCAGTTGCCTTGACAGAATGGTGGGATGGACTACTGAAGACTCCATCACAGTGCCAGCTAAGTGGCAGTATTTTGCAGAGTCAATGTCCTCCAGGATGCTGCTATGTTTTAAGTCAGCTTCCAGTATAGGGTGCTACTTTTCCCACAGCCAGGATTCGTGAGTCCAGAAATCAAGGAGAGCAAACAGAAATTACCCAGTTCACTATTACCCCTAGTGATCTAATCTACCAGCAAAATTTCTGCTTCTTGTCCCTGCAACTTTGGGCTCTGCCTGTCTAGAGGGCTCAGTTCCAAAGGGAGGAATGCTTCCACCAGGAGACACAACAATGATTCTACTGAACTGTTAGTTAAAACTGCCATCTGGCCACTTTGGGCTCCTCATGCCTTGGAATCAACAGGCAGCAGAGGGCGGGTACTGTACTGGCTGGGGTGATTAATCCTGATTACCAAGGGGATATTAGGTTGCTACTATACAACAGAGGTAAGGAAGAGTATGTCTCAAATGTGGCAGATCTCTTAGGGTGTCCCTTAGTACTAACATGACCTCTAATTAGTCAGTAGAAGATCACAACCCAGTTCACATGGGACTGCTAGTGGCCTAGAAGACATTTTAGGAATGAAGGTCACCCCACCAGGCAAAGAACTAGGACAAACTGAGGTACTTCCTGAGGGCAAAGGGAATATGAAAAGGGGAGTAGAAATATCACCCTTTCCACACCAAACCTGGTACACAGCCAGTGCACTGCGGTGTCATCTGAGGGAGCTGCAGTCAAGGACTTGGGTCTCTGGGGCTGGCTAAGCTCTTACACAAATGTGCATTCCTAGCCTAGATGCCTTCTATTCCTAGGTCTTTTTATATGGGGACTTTGGCTGAGGCCTTCTTCAGGTGCCTCTGCTGAGACCTTGTCAAAGGAGGAAGGGGAAATCTTTTATTTATTTATTTATTTTTTTGAGATGGAGTTTCACTCTGTCGCCCAGGCTGGAGTGCAATGGTACAATCTCGGCTCACTGCAACCTCTGCCTCCCGGGTTCAAGTGATTCTCCTGCCTCAGCCTCCTGAGTAGCTGGGAATGCAGGCATGTACCACCACGCCTGGCTAATTTTCGTATTTTTAGTGGAGATGAGGTTTTGCCATATTGGCCAGGCTGGTCTCGAACTCCTGACCTCAGGTGATCTGCCCGCCTTGGCCTCCCAAAGTGCTGGTATTACAGGCATGAGCCACTGCACCTGGCCGGAATGGGAAATCTTAAAGACACTTCTCCCAGTCTACTCCACTCTCCTCACCCAGGGTCCATAAAGCCGCAGGAACCTTTTGTTCAGGGCTTTCACAACAGTGAGATGTCCCCCACTTGTATGCTAATCTACCAGATCCTCAACCAGTGTACCATTCCATGGGGAAAACGGTACTGGGGGGAAAAAGGAGCTGGCACTTTCTTTGGTTTTTAGCCTTTTGTGTAAACTATCAAAGTAAGTGAATAAAGGCTCCACTGTTACTTTCCTTTTGGGTTGTTTAATTATTTACTCTGATATTTGATAGCTCAGTTCTCTTTCCACATCAGCTGAATACTGATCTGGAAATATTATAAATATTCATTTCTGAATACAGTAATGAATACTGTACTATTTATGAGGATTTCTTATTTTGTTATGAATATATATAATTAACCAAATATTTGTGTTTCTTCTCTATCTCCTTATCATCTAATATAAGATGTATCCATAATGGTTAACTTTATATCATAGCATTTATGTTACAGAATATGAGAGAAGAGTGAATTTCACCCAAGGACTCTGCATCCTCTTCTAGGGAAAGGATTAGTGTATTTTTGGTTGTATAAAGGAGAATTGCATTATGTCAGGATAAAGTATGACTCCTGTCATTGCCTTTATTTGAAGACTATGTATGGCTTTAGGAGATGTGTATGGGTGTCAAACAGACAAGGGGTGGAGTATGATAGTCTTCAGATATGTTAACTTGGCTAGGCTACAGCCCAGTTATTCAATAAACATTAACCTAGATGTTACTATGAAGGTATTTTATAAGTGATTAAAGTCCTATCAGCTGATAAACTATCAATATCAGGAATGAATGAGGAGACATCAGTATAGAGTATAAAAACATTAAAATGACAAGTATTATGAACAGCTTTATTGCAATAAATTTGGCAAATTGTTAATAGATGAACAAATTATTTGAAAGACACAAACTACTATCGTAGCTTACTCTAGAATGGAGAACCTGAATAGCCCTATATCTATTAATTGAATTCATAAGTAAAAATTTTCCCAACAAAGAAAACTAGGAGCCCAGGAATTACTGGTTAATTCTATCAAGTATTTAAGAAATAATACCAACTCTACATAAAATCTTCCAGAAAATATAAGAGGAGGCCAGGCACAGTGGCTCACACCTGTAATCCCAGCACTTTGGGAGGCTGAGGCAGGTAGGTGGATCATGAGGTCAGAAGATTGAGACCATCCTGGCCAACATGATGAAACACTGTTTCTACTAAAAATACAAAAATTAGCCCAAGATCTCGCCACTGCACCACTCCAGCCTGGCGACAGGGTGAGACTCCATCTCAAAAAAAAAAAAAAAAGAGGAGAGAACACTTCTCAATTCATTTTATGAAGCCAGCATTATCCTGATGCCAACACCACGCAAAAATATCATAAGAAAATTATCCTTGAGACTTTATCCCTCATGATGACATAAAAATCCTTTATAATATATGACAACAAAATGGAGTTTATTCCAAGAAGCAAGGCTAGTTCAATATTCAAAAATCAATGTGACTGACATTATTAATAGACTAAAAAAGAAGAAAACCCCACAATTATCTCTGTAGATGGAGAAAAGGCATGACAAAATTCAATACTCATTCTCAGCAAACCTGATAAAGAGCACATATGAAAAACCTACAACTAACATCATACTTAATACTGAATGCTTTCCTCCTAAGACTGGGAACAAGTTGACAATACTTGTTCTCATGACTTCTATCCAGTATTGTACAAAGGTCTTAGACATTGTGGTAAGTCAAGAAAAAGAAACAAATGACATCTATATTGGAAAGAAAGAAGTCAAACTGTCTTTACTTACAGACAACATAATTATCTATGTAGAAAATCCTCAGGAATCTATTAATAAAAAAGGCTACTAGAACTAGTAAATGAATTTAGCTAAACCACAAGATACAAGGTCCATGTCCAAAAATCTTTGTATTTCTATATTCTAGTGAGAAATTAAAGTTAAAAAAGTAAAACAGCCTACAAGTATGAAATACCTAGGCATAAATTTAACAAAATGTGTTCAAGATCTATTCACTGAAAAGTACCAAACACTGCTGAGAGAAATTTAAAGACCTAAATAAACAGAGAACTTTACCATGTTCATGGATGAAATGACTCAATATTTTTAAGCTGTCAATTCTCCCCAAATTTATATACTGACTCAATGCAATTCCAATAAAAATCCTAGCAGGTATTTTTGTAGATATGGACAAAATGATTATAAAATTTGTACACAAATGCAAAGGAACTAGTATGAGCAAAATAATTTTGAAAGAAGGGACCTGAGTTGGAGGACTCATACTGCTTAATTTCAGGATTCCCTATAAAAATACAATAATCAAGACAGTGTGGTATTGGTTTAACAAAAAGACATATAGATAACTAGGAATAGGAAATCCAATTGGCCCAAACAGATAAGGTCAGTTGATTTTTGATCAAGGGATCAAAGTAGTTCACTGAGGAAATAGTAGTCTTCTCAACAAATGGTGCCAGGACATTTGGATATTCATATGCAAAAAGGGAAGAAAAGGCCCTCAATCCTTACCTCACACCATATACAAACTTGAAATGAATCACAGACCAAAATGTAAGAGCTAAAACTAGAAAATTTCTAGAAGAAAGTATACAGGAACATCTTAGTGATATTGAGTTAGAAAAATACTTTTTAGATCCCACACTAATAGCATGATCCATAAATACTCCAAATGGATCACAGACCAAAATGTAAGAGCTAAAACTAGAAAATTTCTAGAAGAAAGTATACAGGAAAACTTAGTGATCTTGAGTTAGAGAAATATTTTTTAGATACCACACTAATAGCATGATCCATAAAAGAGAAACTTGATAAACCAGACTTCATTAAAATTAAGAATTTCTGCTCTTATATAGTGAAAAGATAAGCCAGAGACTGTGAGGAAATATTTGCAAATCATATATTTGATAAAGGACTCATATCCTAATATATAAAGAACTCTGAAAACTCGATAATAGGAAAAACACTCAGTCCAAGAAAATGGGCAAAAAATTTGAACAGATGCTTCTTTATCAAATAAGATATACAGATATTCAATATCTTTGGTAATTAGGGTAATATAAAAACCACAATGAAATATGACTAATTCCAGCTGGGTGTGGTGGCACACGCCTGTAATCTCAGCACTTTGGGAGGCCAAGGCAGGGGGATAACTTGAGGTCAGGAGTTTGAGACCAGCCCTGACAACATGGTAAAACCCGATCTCTACTAAAAATACAAAAATTAGTTGGACATGGTGGTGGGCGCCTGTAGTCCCAGCTACTTGGGACGCTGAGGCAGGAGAATCGCTTGAACCTGGCAGGCAGAGGTTGCAGTGAGCCAAAATTGTTCCACTGCACTCCAGCCTGGGCAACAGAGCGAGACTTTGTCTCAAAAAAAAAAAAAGAAAAAAGAACTGTTACTACATTCCTGTTAGAATGTCTAAAATTAAAAAGATTGACCATGCAAAGTGGTTGGTACCTAGAACTCTCATACACTGCTGGTGGGAATGCAAAAGAGTATAACCACTTTGGGAAAACAGTCTGACAGAAAAGCAAACACATACCTAGCAAATACTAGTGGCATATGCCTCGTAATCCCGGCTTCTTGGGAGGCTGAGGCAGGAAGACTGCTTGAGCCCAGGAGTCTGAGGCCAGCCTGGGTGACAGAGCAAGACTCAAAGTCTCATCTCTAAATTTTTTTTTTTTCTTCCCAGAGATAAGGTCTCCCTCTCTCACCCAGGCTGGAGTGCAGTGGCCTGATCATAGCTCCATGTGACTTCAAACTCCTGGGTTCAAGCAATCCTCCTGCCTCAGCCTCCCTAGTAGCCAGGACTACAGGCATGTGCCACCACACCCAACTAGTTAAAACTTTTTATTTTGTTGAGACAGAGTCTTGCTATGTTGCTCAGGCCAAACTTTTTTTTTCAAAAGCTAATATATATCTGTTATATGGACTAGCCAATCCACTCTTCAGTACTTACCCAACAGAAATGAAACATTTGTCCACATAAAGACTTTTTTTTTTTTTGAGACAGAGTCTCGCTCTGTCACCCAGGCTGGAGTGCAGTGGCACAATCTTGGCTCACGGCAACCTCCACCTCCTGGGTTCAAGTGATTCTCCTACCTTAGCCTCCCAAGTAGCTGGGACCACAGGTGCACACCACTACACCCAGCTAATTTTTGTATTTTTAGTAGAGATGGGGTTTCGCCATGTTGGTCAGGCTGGTGTTGAATTCCTGACCTCAGGTGATCAGCCTGCCTCAGCCTCCCAAAGTGCTGGGATTAGAGGCTTGAGCCACCACGCCCAGTCACGCCCACATAAAGACTTAAAGATGAATGTTCATAGCAGCTTTATTCAGAATAGCCCTAAATTAGAAACAACTCAAATGCTCATCATTTGGTGAACGGATAAACAAACTATGGTACATTTCTACAATGGAGTAACACTCAGCAATAAGGACAAACTGCTGATATATGCAACAGTATGGATGCATCTCAAAAGCATTATGCTAAGTGAACGAAGATTAAAACAAACTACATACCAGAAATGTTTAAAAATTTTTGTTTAAAAGATGGCATCTCACTCTGTTGCTCAGGCTGGAGTGCAGTGGTGTGATCATAGCTCACTACAGCCTTGAACTTCTGGGCTCAAACAATATTCCTGTCTCAGCCTCCTGACTAGCTGGGACTACAGGTATACACTATGATACCCAGCTAATTGAAAAAAAAAAATTCTTTTTTAAGAGATAGGATCTTGCTCTGTTGTCCAGGCTGGTCTTGAATTCCAGGCCTCAAGCAATTCTCCCACCTCAGCCTCCCAAAATGCTATGATTACAGGTGTGAGCCACCATGCACGGCTATTTTTGGATTGTGGCAGTGTTTACACAGCTATATACATTTTCAAAACTCAAATTATACATTAAAAGTTGGTCAATTTCACCAGACACAGTGGCTCACACCTGTAAATCTCGGCACTTTGGGTGGCTGAGGGAGGAGGATTACTTGAGCCCGGAGTTTGAGACTAGCCTGGAAAACAGAGTGAGATCTCGTTTCTACAAAAAATAAAAAATTAGCTGGTGTAGCAGCGTATGCCTGTGGTCTCAGCTACTCGGGGGGCACAAGTGGGAAGATCATTTGAGCCCAAAAAGTTGAGGTTGCAACAAGCTATATTCACACCACCATATTCCAGTCTGAGCAACAGAGTGAGACCCCAACATGTGTGCGCGCGCACACACACACACACACACACACACAAAATTAATACATTTACTATTATGTAAGTAATATCTCAATAATGCTGATTTTCAATAAATATAAGAGGGTAATGAACACACAAGTCAGAATAGTGGCTTCTTTGGATAAAGGGAGGCAAAGAAACTGAATGGGAGGAAGTAGCCCATCAGTAGATATCAATTATTGTTAATATTCTCAGGTTGGTTGTTTCATTTATTATATTACTAAAACAGACACAAGAAACTGAAGGAAGGTTATGCATGGATAATGATACAGGTAATTTAAGAACCAAAAATAATGACTTGACTGAATTCTGTACTCCTAATGTTCTAATTATAAAGCAAAATAAAAATCAGGGTGATGTTGAAAATGATTTAGTATTAGCTATTTTATAAAACTTCCTTCCTTAGAATAATGACTCATTTCTTAAGAGTTTGAGCTTCTCTCTGTGCTTCCTGTGATATTCAAGAGGTTAACTGTTTTTTCTTTTGAGATGGGAGTCTGGCTCTGTTGCCCAGGCTGGAGCACAATGGCATGATCTTGGCTCACTGCAACCTCAGCCCCGCCAGGTTCAAGCGATCCTCCTGCCTCAGCCTCCCAAGTAGCTGGAACTACAGGTTTGCACCACCACACCCGGCTAATCATTTTTAGTGGAGACAGGGTTTCGCCATGTTGGCAAGGCTGGTCTCAAACTCCTGACCTCAAGTGATCTTCCCGCCTCAGCCTCCCAAAGTGCTGGGATTACAGGTGTGAGCCACCGTGCCTGGCCTAAGAGGTTAACTCTTTAAGAAAATAAGTAACTTTATAAGGTCTGACTCTGAGATGTGCTAACACTTACCCAGGGGTTCCACCAGTTGGTCAACCAGTCCCATTTTCTTTGCCCTGTCTGCACGAATGCTTCTACCAGTCAGCATCATGTCCAAAGCAGCAGGCACACCCACCTAACAGGCAAGCAAGGATGAGAATATAGGGGGAAAAAAATCAGGGTGATAATTATATAGTTTACAAATCATCAAATGAACAAATATTAAAATGAGAAAAGTCAAGCCATATGTTTATGCTATTTGTCAACAGCATAGATAAGTTATATTTAATATACTGATATACACTTGGGTAACTTTGGGGATTAGATACCTCTAGCTGAAGCAAAAATGTCTTTATCTCTTAATTCAATATATAGGATTCTTATACTAATAAGGTAAAGAATTTCATGTTTCCTAAAATTGTACATTTCTGTTATTCTGAGGGGTTTTTTTCTATCATATATATAATATGTAAAATTCTGGCCAGGCACGGTGGCTCACACCTGTAATTCCAGCACTTTGGGAGGCCAAGGCAGGCGGGTCACCTGAGGTTAGGAGTTTGAGACCAGCCTGGCCCGACATGGTGAAACCCTGTCTTTACTAAAAATACAAAAAATTAGCTGGGCATGGTGGGGCACACCTGTCATTCCAGCTACTTGGGAGGCTGAGGCACAAGAATTGCTTGAATCCGGAGGCAGAGGTTGCAGTGAGCCGAGATCATGCCACTGTACTCCAGCCTGAACAACAAAAGTGACTCTGTCCCAAAAATAAAATAAAATAAAATTCTCATATTGAAACTAGAGAAGACTGTGAGAAACCTGATAGTTTTGACAAAGTCTTTAAAAAGAATTTTAAGCTTAACAAAAATAGAACTCAGCTAGGGCTGCTTATATGGCATACTAGAAGAAAGGCTTCTAGCAACATTCAAATACCAGCTATAGTTTAAGAAAAAAAAAAGAAGAAAGAAAGAAACTCAGCAAATATTTTTGATACACATATATGCATATTCATTCTTTCAATAAATCCTTATGACATTCCTATGAAGGAAAGCACATTATTATTATTAGAAAATTAACACCATAAACCTTGTTTTCTTTTGTGCTCAATTGAGATCAACTTCCCTGCAAAGAGTATTTCTGTTGAGCCTTGTTTTCACTGAGGAATCTACAGTGCCAGAAGCTATAAGGTTCAGTGGGCCCTTGAGTTGACATTAAGATTGCTCTGCAGCATCCAGGTCTGACTGTCCTTCCCTTCTCCTTGGAATTCAAAGCCTGCTGAGCCTCTTTTGGTTCCATACAACACAGCAGTGAGAACATCCAAATCAGACAATGAGGGAAAAGGTCTGCCTCTTATATTTGTAATGAAATATTAATATGACTCATGGTTTTGAAAAACTGTTAAGATGGTATTATGTGGAAAAGGAACCAATTAAACCATAAGCTCCAGAAATGCAAGACATGCATCTTAGTTATCTTTATCCTTCCTCAGAGACTAACAAAGGACCTTGATCAATAATTCTGTGGAATTAGGCCAGGCATGGTGGTTCATGCCTGTAGTCCTAGCACTTTGGGAGGCTGAGGCGGGAGGATTACCTGAGGTCGGGAGTTCAAGACCAGCCTGGCCAACATGGCGAAACTCCATCTCTACTAAAAAATATAAAAAATTAGCTGGGTGCAGTGGTGCACGCCTGTAATTCCAGCTACTGGGGAGGCTGAGGCAGGAGAATCGCTTGAACCTGGGAGGAGAAGGTTGCAGTGAGCTGAGATCACACCACTGCACTCTAGCCTGGGCTACAGAGCAAGATTTTGTCTCAAAAAAAAAAAAAAAAAAAAATCTGTGGAATTGAAAAAATAAGTACCAGGAATAAAGTCTGTCACTGATCCTGTACACTCATATTTTATTTGGTTTTTTAATTCTACAATGAATGCCCATATTATGCATTTTATACAAGAAAACAGATCTAAAGAGGGCATATAGCTTCACAAAGGGGATGTTAGACTCACCATTTTGGGCAGCCTTTGTGTGCCTCCTGCTCCTGGTAAGGCCCCCAGCAAAACTTCAGGGGTACCTAATACTGTTTTTCTGTCTTTTGTTGCTATTCTGTATTGGCATGAAATGGCAACCTTTGAACAAATGAAAGAAAATTAGAATGTTAGAAAATGTAACTTAGTAGCAACTTGAGATGGATAAGGGTCTAAAGATTATTTATAAAGCAGGAATGTGCTCACAGAATAAACTGAAATTCCTTAGGCTGGCATTTAATAATTTCTAGAATTTACCTTTTTAGCCTTTTTTTCATACTTTTCCTCTAATTTACTAACCTCTTTTTGGGCCGTAGATCTCCTAAAAAATCTACTGAAAGCTAGAGAAGCTCTCAAGAGAAAAATGCACACACAATTTTATATGGACCCCAGGTTAAAAAGCCCCGGACTCTCCAATCAAGCACGTCTACTTACAGTGTCCTAGTTGGCTTTGCTTTTGCCTTTGCTCACACCATACCATATGCGGAATTGTTTTTCCCTCCATATTCTGGTTAATCAAATTCTGCTTATAGTTTAGGACCAGGCACAGGTTTTCTTAATTAATATAGTCATGTGTCACATAATGAGGGGGATATGTTCTGAGAAATGTACCATTAGGAAATTTTGTTGTTGTGTGAACATCGCAGAGTGTACTTACACAAACCCAGATGGCAGAGCCTGCTACACATCTAGGCTATATGGGATAGCCTATTGCTCCTAGTCCAGCAGTCCCCAACCTTTTTGACGCCAGGGACAGGTTTTGTGAAAGGCAATTTTTCCAAGAACTGGGGGTGGGGTGGGAGGGAGTGGTTTCAGGATGAAACTGTTCCACTTCAAATCATCAGGCAATAGAGGCCAATGGAGTGCGCAACCTGGATCCCTCTCATGTGCAGTTCACAACAGGGTTCCAGCTCTTATGAGAATCTAATGCCACTGTTGATATGACAGGAGGCGGAACTCAGGTGGTAATGTTCACTCGCCCACTGCTCACCTCCTGCTGTGGGGCCCAGTTCCTAACAGGCTATGGCCTGGGAACTGGGGACCCCTGTCCTAAGGGGCTACAAACCTGGACTGCATGTGACTATTGAATACTGTAGGCAACTGTGGCACAGTGATAAGCATTTCTGTATCTAAACACAGAAAAGGTATAGAAAAATGTAGTGTTACAGTCTTATAGAACCACTGCTGTATGTGCAATTGGTCATTGAAACGTTATGTGGTAAATGACTGCATATGTGAAAGTGTCTGGCACAGAGTTCAGCATGTGAAAAGTGCTCAATGAATGTTTCCTTTTCCCCTTCTTTTCTTTCCTACATGTTCGGGTCTAGTAAGCATCTCTTCTCTCAAATCTTCTATTATTTACCGTCTTTACTACTGACAAAGCACTTATATTATGCTTTATGTGTCTCAACCAGACTTAAGTAGCTTAAGAGCCTAGATCACACTTCTGAATCTTTGCCCTGCAAACTTGAACAAGATTTTTACAGCTGAAAAGGACATTAGAGATGCAGTTCAAATGAAAACATCACACCTTCATTTACTTGCTTTGTGCCACTTGCTCTGTGTCATGTGGATTAAGGATTAACACCTATCCAGAAGTTTGATAACTAAAAACAAAGCTATTTAGGCACAGTGGCTCACACCTGTAATCCCAGCACTTTGGGAGGCCGAGGCGGGAGGATCACCTGAGGTCAGGAGTTTGAGACCAGCCTGGCCAACATGGTGAAACCCCATCTCTACTAAAAATACAAAAATTAGCTGGGCATGGTGATGCACACCTGTAATCCCAGCTACTGGGGAGGCTGAAGCAGGAGAATTGTTTGAAGCCAGGAGGCAGAGGTTGCAGTGAGCCAAGATCGTGCCATTGCTCTCCAGCCTGGGAGACAAGAGCAAAATTCCGTCTCAAAGCAAAAAACAAAAAACAAAGCGGATTCTCCTCCAGAAACTTTTTCCAGGCAAAGCAGTAGCCTAAGGGTTTACAGCTGATGAATGCCACCAATGAGTTGGACAGTGTCTCAATAACTTTAGAATATCTATACCTCAAGTCCTCCTCCCAGGCAGGATCCATTGATGGCAGCCACAATAGGCTTTGTGGACTTTTCAAGTTTCTCAACTATTCTCTGTGCTTCTTGTGATAGCTGTGTTACTTCTTGAAGGGTCTTGCAAGCGGCTAACATGCTGCATTATCCATAAAAGTAGAGAACAGAGAAAAAGATAAAACTATAATTTATTTGGTTCAATACTTATTCACTATACACTTATCCTATCATGCATCAATATTTGATGACAAATCTTCAAATAGAAGGTTAAGAATGATTTTGCTTCAAATAGCACAATAGCAGCAACATCATTTCTCCATAAAGAGTGTTAAACTTCTGGATCCATGAGACCATCCCGGCTAACACGGTGAAACCCCGTCTCTACTAAAAATACAAAAAATTAGCTGGGCATAGTGGCGGGCGCCTGTAGTCCCAGCTACTTGGGAGGCTGAGGCAGGAGAACAGTGTGAAACCGGGAGGTGGAGCTTGCAGTGAGCCGAGATCGCGCCACTGCACTCCAGCCTGGGCGACAGAGTGAGACTCTGTCTCAAAAAAAAAAAAAAAAATTCTGGATCCAGAAAACATAAATGTGTTGCATAATTTATTTTTACTTCTGTAATAAATCATTAAATTACAAAGCTTGGTACAAGGGAAAATCATCTTTGGTAAATTACTTCACTATCAGATTAAACATTTCACTATCAGGTAGTTAACAGCAATAAAAATGACGCAAAAGAAAAGCTTCCAGGTTGTTTAGAGAAATCTAAAACATTTTAACAGATCCCACTAATGAATAAAAATGACCAGGTAGGCCAGGCATGGTGGCTCATGCCTGTAATCCCAGCACTTTGAGAGGCCAAGGCAGGTGGATCACCTGAGGTCAGGAGTTCGAGACCAGGCTGGTCAACATGGTGAAACCGCGTCTCTACTAAAAATACAAAAATTAGCTGGGCGTGGTGCTGCATTCCTGTAGTCCTGGCTACTCGGGAGGCTGAGGCGAGAGAATCACTGGAACCTGGGAGGTGGAGGTTGCAGTGGGCCGAGATCGCACCACTGTACTCCAGCCTGGACAGCAGAGGGAGACTCCGTCTCAAAAATAAATAAGTAAATAAAAATGATCAGGTGCAATGATGTTCCACTCAATGTCCTTTAATTTCAGTTTGTTTCATTTGCTATTTTGTGAACACACTTAGGATATGGATTTTGTACTTTTGACCAAGGATAACTAGTATATTCTGTAATTTTATACACTGAGAGTTGCTCAGCTGGCCTCATAGAAGCTACATGTATTTTCCTCTGGATATAGGTAGCTACTGCCAGGTACATCAGTGTCTTGTTAGACTTTATAAATGTTCTGTTTAATGTTAATTTTTTAGAAGACCCAAAATTATCTTATCAAGTGGTTTTTCTTCTAGCTGAATTATTTGTGCCTAACAAGAGACTGATTACTACACATAAATAATTACACTTTCAGTACAAATTACTAAACCTACAATGCTGGCTATCATTGTCTAAAATACAAAGAACATAACAAATACCCATATTTTAATGGAATTGACAACTTAACATTTTAACCTATTAAACTGACACTAAAATATCATTTCCCCTCCTTATGTATGTGTAAACAATTGTAAATAAGTTAATGTAGGCATGCATTCCACCATTTAGCAGAGGAAAAGAAAATACTAGCTGCATCTGTAAAGCTGCCTTTAACAATCAAGTCCTACCACCCACTTCATTTCCCCAAAGCAGCCATCTTCATGTTTGTAGTGTCTCCTTCCAGACCAACTACGATTGTGTCCATAAATAGTATCAAGAATTATTCCATGTTTGGTTTTAAAACATTTATAGAAACTATATACTGTATGAAACATTCTGCAATTTGCTTTTCTTTTAACTTAACCTTATGTTTTTGAGTTCTAACATCATATTGTGGATCTAGTTAATTCCTTTTACCTGTTTTGTAGTATTCTATTGTGTGAATAGTCCACATTTTACTTACCCATTTTCCTACTGACTGACATTTGGTTTTAAATTCTTCATTATTTCACACTACACAGGACCAAACATCCTTGTACACTGGTTCTTATAAACAAGGGGTGAGATTTCTCTAGATCACATGATGTGTGTGTGTGTGTGTGTGTATATATATATATATATACTCTGTGTGTGTGTGTGTGTGTGTGTGTGTGTGTGTGTGTGTGTATATACTTTTTTTTTTTAAGACAGTCTCACTCTGTCACCCAGGCTGGAGTGCAGTGGTGTGATCTCGGCTCACTGCAACCTCTGCCTCCCAGGTTCAAGGGATTTTCGTGCCACAGCCTCCTGAGTAGCTGAGATTACAAGCGTGTGCCACCATGCCTAATTTTTGTATTTTTAGTGGAGACAGGGTTTCACCATGTTGGCCAGGCTGGTCTTGAGCTCTTGGCCTCATGTGATCCACCTGCCTCGGCCTCCCAAAGTGCTGGGATTACAGGCAAGAACCACCACACCCAGCCTGATACGTACATTTTCAATTTTACAGGCCTGTGTCACTGTGCCCAGCACTTCTACTTTCTTTTAAAAGGAGAAATTATTAGGCCTAAGAAACACACTATTAACCAAGATAAAAGGTGACTTCAAGTTTCCTAAAACTTACTTGATATCAGCACCTGCAATAAAGCAGCCTGGCTTTGATGAGATAAGGACGGCACTTCTGATTTGATCACTAGCCCAGATTTCATTCATAACTTCTGAGAACTCTGAATGTAGCTCTTTACTCAGTGTATTTACCTGCCAAAGGGAAATATATACAGGTAAGGGTTTAAATTTGAAGCACTGGATGTACGTACCACCATCAAATGCTATTTTGATTATAAGAAATATACTTATCCGGCAGAAATATACTGTTAGAAGAGAGTAAGAAATATCATTCTCCCAGCAAGTCAGTAGCTTTCTATTCAGGCAGCTTTGGCCCACTACAAGCACCCCTTCCTTTAAAAATAGGTCTTCTCAAAGGAGAAACTCAGGGTCATCCTCAGAGTTTGAATCATATGTAGGCTATAAACAAATAGGTCTACAAACATTTATTGGCATGGAAAAAATCTGCATAATGTTAAGAAAAAAATGAAATACAAATAAGACATATAGGCCAGGCATGGTGGCTCATCCCTGTAATCCCTGCACTTTGGGAGGCCAAGGTGGGCGGATCACTTGAGTTCAGGAGTTCGAGACCAGCCTGGGCAACATAATGGAACCTTGCCTCTACAGAAAATACAAAAATTAGCCGGGCCTGACAGCACACGCCTATAGTCCCAGCTACTCAGGAGGCTTAGGTGGGAGGATCACCTGAGCCTGGGGAGGCTGAAGCTGCACTAACCTGTGACTGTGCCACTGCACTCCAGCCTAGGCAACAGAATGAGACCCTATCTTCAAAAAAAACCATATAGTATGATCTTAGTTTTGTAAATATTATTCATTGAAACTGAATTAAATGTGATTATCCCATGGAAGATACCAAGAAAAAGATGTGGTTATCTTTAGGTTTGAATTATGAATGTTTATTATTTTCTTCTTTATAATTTTTTATAGTTGAAAAATTTTCTACCATTGACATATATTACTTTTGTGTTCAGGAAAAATGTCCAACCTAAGAAAATTCTGAAAAAATATCTTAAGCTTGAATCATTGGTTAGTGAGTGCTAAAATTTACTCTAGTAAAGGGGAATGGCTCTTATTTACCTTAATTTGTGATAGTTGTCAACTGCTTCCATCTAGGTCTTATTACATCTAAGCCTCTGGCTATAAGTTTGTTGTTGTTGTTTTTTAGAGAGACAAGGTCTTGCTCTGTGGCCCAGGCTGGAGTGCAGTGGTGCAATCATAGCTCACTGTAACCTTGAATTCCTAGGCTTAAGTGATCTTTCCACCTCAGCCTTCAGAGTAGCTAGCACTACAGGTGAACATCACCATACCCAACTATTTTTTATTTTTTATAGAGACAAGGTCTTGCTATGTTGCCCAGGGTGGTCTCAAACTCCTGGGCTGAAGTGATCCTCCTGCCTCGGCCATCCAGTGTTGGGATTATAGGTGTGAGCCACAGTGCCCAGCCTGGCTACAAGATTTTTAAAGTAAGAATACACCAAATTTAGATGGGGGAAAAGCATGGACTCTCACAATAAAGCTCTTCTTGGCAAAAGAATGGATTACTGTTACACACTTTATTGAAGCTGCCAAAAACAAAAGAAGTTTCAATTCGAACAGAACTTGATTTCCAATATGTGAATTGCATTGAGTCATTCAGATCCCTCAGGAAGCTTAAGAGCCAAGTATCCACATTTCACTCAGCCAACTTACTATGAATAGTGACTTATGTCAGGCAAGTAATGAAGAAAATGGATTAACAACCTCATATTTAAGATGGGTAGGCAAATTTTGAGTCTTATAAACAAAGCTTGTACTCTGGTTCTTCTCTAATAAGTCACCTCCTCATTCTACACTATAACCAGGAGGCTGGTGGCACCTAAGGTCAACAAGAGGAATTCTTACGCAAGAACCTCTGCTTTAGAAAACTGGCTCCCTTGGCAATCTGTCAAAGTTTAACATAACTGTCAAAACTGTAAATTCATGTAAGATTACTGCCAGATTGGTAGATTTGGGGAAATATGGGATACATCTTTCCCATTCAGGACTAGATTCATAATGCGGTTAGCAGAAAAAAACTGCAAATTAAATGAGATACCTTTGAATTGGGAGAGTTAATTCGAACAACTGCCACATCCCCTTTGACTCCATAGTTAATATGGGTTCTGGCTAAAAAGAAAAGAAAGATTTATTTGTAAACATATTTATTGCAACATAAATCCAAAAAGCAATGTAAGCATACACATTAAAAAGAAATTAAACTTACTCAGCAAAGCAGAAGACCCTGTAAAATTGCGGCATATATAACCTGTAAGAAAAGACATTTCAAAATTAATTTGCGAAACAATTTCTGTAGTACCTTTTATATATAACAAAGCTGTAATTTACAATAATAACAACAACAAAAACCCCAAATCTGTACAATGTATTCTAGGCCATATGACTACTGCCATATTTTTTCCATTTCAGTTGTTAGGTCAGATGATTATTTGGATACTAAAAGAGGAAGACTGGCCCCCACAAAGGGATATACATCCCCAGAACCTGTGAATATGTTAGGTTACACGGCAAAGGGGGGATTAAAGTTGCTAATCAGTTGGCCTTAATAAAGAAAGTTTATCATGGATTATCCAGGTGGGCCCAGTGTAATCACAAAAGGGAAGAGGGAAGCAAAGAGAACCAAAGAGATAGCAATGTAAGAGGCACATGGGAACTACTGACTGGAGAACCCAGTGAAGGTGGAGTGGAATAGGGGAGGATCATCAGTAGGTTGCCAAGGCTCTTGCTGCCTCCGTATTTTCTCTTTATCCCCCAGTTCCTTATGGAAAGGGAAGAGAAGGCACAAAAAATAGCAGCTTTATACTGGTTGGAAAGGCAAGGTGACACATTAAAAAAAAAAAAAGAAAGAAAACTGTGGTTAGCACCAGAAGCAGAATGGGGTGATTTCAGGTTCTGCCTGCATTTCTTCTTTAAGCAATCCAAGCCAGCCGACTTAGTGCAAAGGCAAAGGACTTGTGTTCAACCATCAGGTTTATTTACTAGCTGTGTGACTGTGAACAAGTCTCTTACAAGTGAACTTCAGTGTTTTAAGATGGGAGAAGCCAGCCATCTCCTCAATCCCCAGTGCCTCTACTTGACTAATAGTATGTTTCCTGCTTTGCTTTTCCATCATTTGAAATCTGTGTCATCTGTATTTACCACTCTTCCTTCTTTATATTTGCATCATGACTCCACTCTTTTCCACAAAACCTCATCTTCGGATTCTGTCTACAGTGATCCTTCCTTTCCTTGCCTGCATTTTTATTTTATTATTTAATGTTCTGTCCTCTAACTGCTGCATCTGTAGCAGGTGTTTCACCAACCACATTGTAATCTTTTCCAACATAATCTGTTATTCATTCAACAAAAACATATATTGTGACCTCCATGTGCCATTCACTGTTCTAGGCACTTGGAGTACAGCAGGACATTCAGGGTGAACAAAAAAGACAAAAATCCCTGTCTTGGTGGAGCTTACATTCCAGGTCAGCAGGGGATATGATATCTGGGAAGAATCAGTTCCTACTCAGTGAAGATAAATGAAAAGTGAAAATAGGCCTGGCATAGAAAAAGTTTTCCTGCAAAGTAGAAATTCCAGTGGGAAGGGAAGAAGGGGATAGGTAATTCTAGCAAAACAGGGTAAAGTGGATTAGAGTGGGAATGAACTGATTGGGAATGCAGGTTGAGAGGGAAAAACCAAGAAACACAAATATGTTAGAAAATAAGCACCTAAGCAAAAAAAGGAAATAGAGTGAGCATGGGTTGCAATATTTCAAAAACATTTTTTTTCTTTGAGACGAGGTCTCCCTATGTTGCCCAGGCTGGTCTTGAACTCCTGGGCTCAAGTAATCTTCCGGAGTAGCTAGGATTACAGGCATGTGCCACTATGCCCCACTGGGTTGCAGTTTTAAAGATCAAATATTTGAGATAACAGGTTAGTGGTCATTAGCCAACAGTTTAAACCATTTTAACTCCTGTCCACTAACCTACCTATGCTGCCCACACACTCATACACAAAACCTCTCCAAGATCAAGACAAATAGAAACAAATAGAAAACCAGTATATACATGAACATACTTCGAAAATAATTCCAAACCAGAGTCAACCAAATCAAGTCACACTGCAAGGTAGCTTTGCTTTTGGAGTCTAGCCTTACTCACTACCTAACTGCAGAGCTTACCCTATGGCAGCTGAGTGAACTTTAGCCTACATCTACTGTGCCAGCAAAGTAGAGAGAAACCTTTGCCCCACTTTTTAATCATCTTTGTAATGTAACCCAAGAATAACTACAAAACCTCATAAGACTACAGTCAGCGAAGAGAGCTGGATTATGCTAACATAAATTTCAAATTTGAAAACATTACTTTGGTTGTAATAATCAACAGCTTTTCTCAAGATTCAACACTGGGAGAAGCGACGAGATTAAGGAAGTGAGAATCAAATTTAAAAATACACAATCTATGGCCGGGCGCGGTGGCTCACGCCTGTAATCCCAGCACTTTGGGAGGCTGAGGTGGCTGGATCACCTGAGGTCGGGAGTTAGAGACCAGCCTGGCTGACATGGCGAAACCCCGTCTCTACTAAAAATACAACAACAACAACAAAAAAAAAAAAACAAAAAAAAAGTTAGCTGGGCGTGGTGGCAGGAGCCTGTAATCCCAGCTACTCTGGAGGCTGAGACAGGAGAATCACTTGAACCCGGGAGGCGGAGGTTGCAGTGAGCCAAGAGCGCACCATTGCACTCCAGGCTGGGTGACACAGTGAGACTCCGTCTCCAAAAAAAAAACCGAAAAAACAAACAAACAAAAAAACCATCTATTAAGGTATTTGCCTCTAAATTCATCTCCTGTGAAATTATTTTACTACTAATACCTATTTACTACTAAATACCTAATTAGGAATTTAGATTTAGGATAGGAGTGGGAATTAGACAACATACTCTGGTCAAGAAGTGATTTTCATTTGATATTCACATTCAGAATTATAGCACTTGTAGAGAAGGAATGCTTTAAAATTTCAAGAATTACAAGTCTCCTTCAAGATAATTTTTTTTTTTTTGAGATATGGTCTCATTCTGTCCTCCAGGTGTGATCTTGGCTCACTGCAACCTCCACCTCCTGGGTTCAAGCGATTCTCCCACCTCAGCCTCCCGAGTAGTTGGGATTACAGACGTGTGCCACCACACCTGGCCAATTCTGGTATTTTTTGGTAGAGATGGGGTTTCACCATGTGGGCCAGGCTAGACCTCAAGTGATCTGCCCGCCTTGGCCTCCCAATATACTGGGATTATAGGCATGAGCCACCGTGCCTGGCCCCTTTCAAGAGAATTTTATCATCCACCAGCAAAGGTCATAATCTCATTAAATGTTTGGCAAAGCCTTGCACAGACTTTTACTGTGAAGGATCTATTGAGTCTAAATAGTAATATAAGGGTGCAGGTCATTTTAAATTCACTTTCCAGACTTTTTTTCAAAATTTATAAATTGCTATTAAGGGATCAGTAACTACAACGAATGATACTTTCTTACTGGTGAAAACACAATGCAAAGTATATATTTATGTGTCTATATATTTCTATACAGAAAACAGAAAAATTAGGTTGGTAGCTTTTTATTACACACATAAGATGTACAAATTACTTTTAAAAACTCTCAGATATATACAATCGTATTTCTTCCAGGCTGGAGTTAATAATATTTACTGAGTGCTTACTCCATGAAAAACTGCTTGATATCTAAAATAACTCCTTTTCATCACACAAGGTGGTATTATTCCCCATTTTACAAATGAGAAAACAAACACAGAAATTAATTGCCCAAGGTCATCAGAGGGTAAAAGGCAGAGCCAGGTCCAAACCCAGAAGTCAGACTCCAAACAATGTTTTTTTTGTTTGTTTGTTTGTTTTTGAGACGGAGGACCAGGCTGGAGTGCTGTGGCGCGATCTCGGCTCACTGCAAGCTCCGCCTCCCGGGCTCACGCCATTCTCCTGCCTCAGCCTCCCGAGTAGCTGGGACTACAGGCGCCCACCAACACGTCCGGCTAATTTCTTGTATTTTTAGTAGAGACGGGGTTTCACCGTGTTAGCCAGGATGGTCTCGATCTCCCGACCTCGTGATCCGCCCGCCTGGGCCTCCCAAAGTGCTGGGATTACAGGCGTGAGCCACCGCACCCGGCCCAAACAATGTTTATTAATTGCTCTGTCATGCTACTTCTCATGCAAAGGAAATCCATCATCTCAATCATTCATTTTGCAGATGAGGAAAATAAAGCCCATTTAGTTTAAGGCATTTGTCCAAAGTAACACAGCTAGTGACTAGAACCACGTGCCCTGGCTACCACTTCCGAGTGACATCAGCTGCCGATCCATAAGAAATACCTTCAAACCAATGCAGGGGTAAGATAAAAATTACACGTTACTTTTCAAAAGTGTTGTGAAAATAGGGGAAAAAAACCACCAAACCTGTAAGGAAACATAACCGAAGGCTAACCGTAGGTAAGCATATGAGTAGTAAGACAATGGGTGATTCGTTTTTTTTTCATCTCTTTCCTCAATCCTTACAGCATTTCAATGTTCTATAATGTGCTTATGTTATAATTGGCAAATACATGCTACAGTTTTGTGGAGACTAAAAACAGCTGTTGAAAAAAGGGAGCAGAAAAATATTCAATCATTAAAAAAATCCCCTTACAGTAAGGGATTTCAGCTACTTGTCTAAAAAAAGCATACTACTTCAGCGGTTCCGGAAGAGGGAAGAGAGGTAATTCATATTACAAATTAAATTAAAAGTTAAAATTTCTAGTTAAGTAACTTATTAAGCACAACATGCAATAAAACGTTGTCCACTTTTGACTTTACAGATTTGGGATGGAAAGAAAATGCAACGTTTCCTACAACCACCCACTTTAACCCTTTCACTGCCAGTTTGAAAAGGAAAAACACTAGCTAATACAGGCTGACTGGGAATCATCAGATTACAAATCGTTCTCAGAACGATCTAACATTTTATTGCTTAAGGTAGAGGTATTAGCGTATTTTTAAAGTGTGTCTTCCAGTAAGTTGCAGAACTTCCCGCTGAAATTCAAAATACTATACGTTCACACTGACATTACTGAAACTGCAAGAGTTGAGCTCCCTACTTGATTGGGGTAGTAAGCACAAAAATGGTTTTGAGGGAACGGAGCAGGGAGGGGCAGTGATCTGCAAGGCTGATTAATCCCATACAAGACAGCGCTTGTTGCGGGGTAAGGTGCTGTTTTTAAGACAGCTCTTGTTGCGGGGCAAGGTGCTGTGGAGCCACAAAGATGCGACAGAATGGATCCCGATTCTCCTGGAACTCCGGATCAAGAAAATATGAGGGGCGTGAGCCCAGAAGTGCGACGCAAGAGACCCGCGGAAAGGTGACAGAACGAGTGGCACCAGACTCAGAAAGTTGGGGAGTTAGGAAGCCTGAAATCGCCGCAGGAGTCGTGAGAGGGGAAGTGACAGTCTCTTCAGAAGGTCACGGGAAACCGGGTCCCAGGGCAGTATCCCCACAGAGGGCTGCGTCTCCGGGCTGGGGCAGGCGGCAGCGAAAGGGAGACGCGGCTCCGGGGCCACCCCAGTCCCGGCAGGAGTTCTGCCCGGAGGTCTGGGATGCCCTCGGCCAGGCCTCACCTCGGGAGCGGAGGATCCTGAAGGCAGAAAAGCGGCTGAGGATGCCAATCGCCCGGCAGGCCACCATCTTGAGCTGAAGAGGACAGCAGTGGAGAGCGCCTCTAACGGGTGCGGCCGAGCGGAGGACTTTTCTCCCGTAGCCTGGCAGCCAGGCGCCTGGAGCACTGCCTGACTAAAACCCAGATGCCGAGTGGCCGCCGGCCCCTTAGCCCTGCCCCTCGCTCCTGGCTAACATGGCCGAAAGGTCGTATTCTCCGGGGGAGGACGGGGGCCCGGAGAGGAGGGGGTGGAGTGCCTGGTTTTCCAGTCAGGCGGCCGGAGGGCAGCCCTCAAGAACGGCCCTGACCGCCCGCGGGGTGAGGGGCCCTTTCTGGGCAGGACCCGCCCCTTGGTCCCGCAGAGCCTTGGTACTTGGACCTGAACCTTGCTCCGAGAGGGAGTCCTCGCGGACGTCAGCCAAGGTGAGACGGCGAGCCCTCAGCTCTCCGCCCGGGCTTTCCCAAAGGCGAGATTCCACTTCCTTCCCCGCAACTGTCGCCGGTGCCCCCGGCCCCCTCCCCTCCCTGGGAAAGTGGGAGTTGAGGGAGCGGAAGGAAACTCCTCGGACAAGGTCGGCAGTGCTAGCTGCAGTTAGGACAGTGACTTGGACTAGCGTTCCAGCTGAAGTTCGGGACAGTAGTGTCACCTGCGCCCTAATTTATCATCACAAGTTAACGAAGTCTGGGGGTGTGGGGGTGTGTGTGTGTGTGTGGGTGTGTGTGGGCGTGTGTGGGCGTCGGCCTTAATGTAACCCTGGTCTGCGTAGAAGTGTGTGTTGTTTCGCCTGCTTCCCCTGTACCCAGGTCGGCGGCTATAGAGATTGTGGACGGCGCCATGGGTTTGCCCGATTTCTGCTGTAAAGAATAAGACTAGGTCAGGTGACCTTTCGGGGCTTGAGTGTGGGAGGAACGGAGACAATCCTCCATCCGGCTCCGTTATCCAGATAATCCTGCGCTCTCGGGGGTTTTCCGATCTGGATGATTATCTATCTGGTCGTTCACACCTCAGCTCACTTAAGCGGTGAAGAAACTGCCTACGAATCAGAGAGAGTGATTTTACCCATGGCCATATGTAGTAGAAATAAGACTGGAGCCTAAGTCTACTAACTCCTAGTGAAGAGTTCTTCATTGCATGGTAGCTGTTTTTGTGCTGGAATGATGGGCTGGAGTCCTGGAATAAAGTGATTGATTTCAAAAGGAAGTCACATTGAGAGCCTGCTGTGCTCTGGTCACCTTCATACCTTTTTGTTTAGTCCTCACATTCCCCAAATTATTATCATTTGCATTTTCTAGATGAAGTTTGGGAAGCTCAGAATATATACATTTTCTAGTCTGTGACAGACCTAGCATTCAGACATAAGTCTGAGTCTCACTACTCGCCAGACTGACAGCTCTGCAGGACAGGAAACAAGGGGCATCGAAGTTAAGACTGAAATGAGTATAGAGACAGAGTAGAGAGGTTTCTGTTTAAAGCTCAAGTTGCATAGTGAGTGCTCATCATGTGAGCACTTTAAGCAGAAACTGGATGACCTGACCACTTCTGAATAAATTGCAAAAAGGATTCTTGATAATCTTACAAGGTTTTTACAGTTCAGAGCCTGCCTCCTGCCCATGTAATGCTTTCTTCAACACCTAACTGCGTGTAACACTTATTATTTAGGTCAGAAGTGGTAAATTTTGTTGTTGTTGTTAAAGGTCCAGACAGTAAATAGTTCAGGATTTGCAGGATCACTTTGGTCTCTGTTATATATTGTTTCTTTTGTTTTGTTTTGTTTACAACTTTTTTTTTTTTTTGAGACAGTTTTGCTCTTGTTGTCCAGGCTGGAGTGCAGTGGCGCGATCTTGGCTCACTGCAGCCTCCTCCCGGGTTCAAGTGATTCTCCTGCCTCAGGCTCCCGAGTAGCTGGGATTACAAGCGCACACCACCACGCCGGGCTAATTTTTTGTATTTTTAGTAGAGACGGGGTTTCACCATGTTAGCCAGCCTGGTCCCGAACTCCTGACCTTAGGTGATTCGCCCACCTCTGCCCCCCAAAGTGCTGGGATTACAAGTGTGAGCCACCACGCCCGACCTTACAACTCTTTAAAAATGTGAAAAACTATTTTTAGCTAGAGGCCCGTGTGTTGTAGTTTGCCAATCCCTGATTTAGATCACTCATTTGGCTCCATTTTTTTGCTCCCTGTGCTTTCTCTACAAAACTAAGCTCCATCAGGGCAGAAATGTTATAATGTTTCTTTGATCCCTAAGCACTTTAGTCCAATGGTTTATATAGAGGGAAACAGTACATTTGTATCACCATCTCTACTGGTAATAGCAAACACAGGTATACCCCTAACTGTGTATCAAGCACTGTTTTAAGTGGTGTGTGCACGTGGGTGTGCGTGCGTGTGTGTGTGTGCGCGTGCGCGTCCTATGTGGTTAAGTAACTGGCTTAAAGTCATACAGCTAGGGTGAATCAGGATTTGGACATAGTCTGGCTTTAGTTCTCTTAACCATTACGTTGTGTTTCAAAGTTGTAATAATGAGCTGTTAGAGCCACCCCATCTTGCTTTTGTTTTCATTACTTGCCTAGACTCTTCTTCCTTTCCCTTGCTCCCAGGTGCCTGCAGCTTCGTGTATCTTTCCATAGTTCACACCTTACTCAGGCTTACCCTAACCAACTCGATCCTACCCTACCCTACCCTGGAGTTTCCATGCTTTGAATATTTTTACCAAAATTTCTGTTTTCTGAAGTTTAGCAAATGACAGAAAGGTCAGCTCTGCTATAGGATAATTTGCTTAGTCCCTCTTACTTTTGAAATCTCTATTTTTTATTAACTATTGAAGGAATACATATTCCATGTAATTTTTTATTCAGAAACTACAGAAAAGTCTAAAGAAAATCTGTAATTCCACCACCCGGAGATAACTACTTTTAACATTTTGATGTGTATTTTTCTGGACTTTTTAAAATGCATTTGTATATTTGTATATATTTATATAAGATATTGATGTACAGTCGGCCCTTGGTATCTGTGAGTTCTACATCCTCAGATTCAACCAATGTCTGAGTGAAAATGTAGTTAGGCCTACAGTGGTTTCATTTGTCCTGAACATGTACAGACTTTTTTTCTCATCATTATTCCCTAAACGATACAGCATAACGACTATTTACATAGATTTACATTGCATTCGGTATTGTAAGTAGTCTAGAGATGATTTAGAGTATGCATGAGGATGTGTGTAGGTTCTTTGCAAATAAATACTATGCCATTTTATGTAAAGGACTTGAGCATCCTTGAGGTTTGGTATCTGAGGGGGGTTCTGGAACCAATCCCCCTTGGATACTGAGGAACAACAGTATATATAGATTTTAAATAAAACTAGAATTATGCATAAGTAAAATGCTTATTTTAAAAAAATTAAAGAGAACAGAAGAATATTAAATAAAAGCCTTTCTTTATCCTTCCATGTCTAGACTCATAGCTTCAGGGACTTTCTTTTCTCTTTCTCTCTTTCTGTCACAAAATGGTTGTTGTAGTAGGGTTTACTTACCCATTTCCCTATTTTCCAGTTATTCTAATCTATTATTCTAATTTCTAATACACATTGTTCTGTAGCTTGCTTTTTCATTTAATATATATTATGGACATTTTTCCATGTCAGTATATATACATGTACATCATTTTGTTTCATTTTCTTTTCCAAACTGCCAAACAGTATTCCATGGTGTGTTTATACTATAACTTACTTAACTGTTTCCTACTGATGTGCATTTAGATTAGTTACGGTTTTCCACAAATATAAACAGTGCTATAGTGAACACCTTGAGTATTTCTTTTTTTTTTTTTGAGACGGAGTCTCGTTCTGTCTCCTAGGCTGGAGTTCAGTGGCGTAAGCCACCACCCCTGGCCCACCTTGAGTATTTTACGCTAGAGACCTATATATGCTATACATACATTTTGAATATTTCTATAGGTTAGAGACCAATAAAAGGCATTATTGGACTCAAAAATTCACATTTTAAATTCTGATCTATAACTACAAAATTGTCATCCCAAAAGGCCTTAGCATTTTACATGTCTTCTAGTGTATGGAAGTGCCTATTTAGTTAGATGCATTCTTACTAGAATTATATATTAACCATATTTTCAATGTTTGCCAATCTGAAAACCACAAAATGATACCTTGCTTTGATTTAAAAAACAACAACAACAACAACAAAAAGGCTGGGCGCAGTGGCTCATGCCTGTAATCCCAGCACTTTGGGAGGCAGAGGCGGGCGGATCACCTGAGGTCAGGAGTTCAAGACCAGCCTGGCCAACATGGTGAAACCCCATCTCTGCTAAAAATACAAAAATTAGACAGGCGTGGTGGCACGTGCCTGGAGTCTCAGCTACTCGGGAGGCTGAGGCAGGAGAATCGCTTGAACCCAGGAGGTGGAGGTTGCAGTGAGCCGAGATCGCGCCATTGCACTCCAACCTGGGGGACAAGAGTGAGACTTTGTCTCAAAAAAAAAAAGAAAATCACAACTTTTTGTTAGTGAGGTTGAACATTATACATTTTGTTTATTTGGCATTTTAATTTCTTCTGTGAATGGCTTGTTTTCTCATTCTTGCTTTTGGTCATGTATCAGGAAGGAGTCTTTCAGTTGCAAATAACAGAAAATTCAAATCAAATTGGCTTCTTAAAGGGGATTTATTAGTCCGGGCGTGGTGGCTCACGCCTGTAATCCTAGCACTTTGGGAGGCTCAGGAGTTCGAGACCAGCCTGATCAACACGGTGAAATCCTGTCTCTACTAAAATAAAAAAAATTAGCCTGGTATGGTGGTGTGCGCCTGTAGTCCCAGTTACTCGGGAGGCTGAGGCAGGAGAATTGCTTGAACCCAGGAGGCAGAGGTTGCAGTGAGCCAAGATCGCGCCGCTGTACTCCAGCCTGGGCGACAGAGTGAGACTCCGTCTCAAAAAAATAAATAAATAAATAAAGGAGATTTATTGGCTCACAGAACTGAAAAGCACAATGAGAGGTTGGGTTTCAGATGGGATTCGGCCAGGACTCTTCTTTTTCCAGAATTCTCAGCTCCGTACTCTTCTGCTTGTTTGGTGTTAGCTCTATCTTAGCCTAGCTTTGTTAATGTTTGCAAATTGCTGTAGCCATGCCAGGCCTCAGAAGGAAAGATTTGTGTTCCAGAATTATAGGCAGAAGACTTGAGTGTTAAACTGATGAAACCATCCACAAATCAATACCAGTGGTCAAGGCAATGCCGTGCATGGTTGTTTGAGGCCTTGGTACCTGAATCAATGATCTTGGCAGAGAGAATGAGATTATTCTGATTGGTTTAAACCCTGGAGTTGGGCTGGATTCAATCCCATGTAAGCCACATACAGCAGCTACATTTGGGTGGAATGGATATTAGAGTACAAACTACAGATTCCATGATAGATTGTTTCTGTTTTTCTTTTTCTTTCTTTTTTTGGAGATGGAGTCTCGCTCTGTCGCCCAGGCTGGAGTGCAATAGTATGATCTTGGCTCACTGCAACCTCCGCCTCCCGGGTTCAAGCGATTTTCCTGCCTCAGTTCCCAAGTAGCTGGCTTACAGGCATGTGCCACCAGGCCTGGCTAATTTTGTATTTTTATTAGAGATGGGCTTTCTCTATGTTGGTCAGGCTGGTCTTGAACTCCCAACCTCAGGTGATCCACCTGCCTGGGCGTCCCAAAATGCTGGGATTATAGGCATGAGCCACTGCGCCTGGCCTTATTTTTCTTATAATTTGTACAAGTTCTTTATGGATTATGGGTATCAACCCTTTTCTGTTTTACATGTTACAAATATTTTCTCTGAATCTATTTGCCTTTTAACTTGATTTTAGTATATTTTACTATGTGTATATTTTGAATGTTTATATGATCAGATCTATTAGTTATTATTTTCTGTTGTACTTCTGGGTTTTGTGCCATATGTTGAAATCCCTTCTCCATCTAAGTGATAAAAATATTCTCTGAGGCTGGATATGGTGGCTCATGCTTGTAATCCCAGCATGTTGGGAGGCCGAGGTAGGAGGATTACTTGAGGCTAGGAGTTTGAGACTAGCCTGTCTCTAAAGTTTTTTTTTTTTTTTTTAATTAGCCAGGCATGGTGGCATGTGCCTGTAGTCTAAGCTACTCAGGAGGCTGAAGCAGGAGGATCCCTTGAGCCCAGGAGTTCCAGATTGCAGTGACCTATGATCATACCACTGCACTACAGCTTGGGCAACAGAGCGAGACCCTGTCTCTAAAAAATACATACACGTGTGTGTATGTATATATTATATTCTCCGATGTTTTCCTCTAGTACTTTTATAGTTAGAATATATATATTTAAAATATATACATTTAAATATTTAATCTGTCTGGCATTTATTTGTGCTTTCGCTGTGAGCTGCGAACCTAAAATTTTTTCCAAATGTTTAGCCATTTTCCCAGTGAATTCATGGAATAATTTCTTTCTCTCAGCTAACTCAAGTGTTATATTTATTATACACTAAATTCTTACATACATGGGTCTGCTTCTGAACTGCTACATCCTGTTTTGTTGATCAGTGTCGTTTATTCCTGTGCTAAAGCTGCTCTGTTTTAATTATTGGTTCTTTCTAGAAAGTGTTTTGTTTGTTTTTTTTTGAGACAGGATCTTACTCTGTTGCCCAGGCTTGAGTACAGTAGCGTGATCATGGCTCACTGCAGCCTCGAACTCCTGGCTCGGGTGCTCCTCCCACCTCAGCCTCTTGAGTAGCTGCGACTACAGGCACATGCCACCATGCCCAGCTAGTTTTTTGTATTTTTTGTAAAGACAGGGTCTCACTAGGTTGCCCAGGCTGGTCTCAAACTCCTGGGCTCAAGTGATCCTCCCACCTCGGCCTCCCAAAGTGCTGGGATTACAGGTGTGAGCCTCTGTGCCTGGCCTAGAAAGTTTTGTTATCTGTTGCAACAAGGTTCCCCCTTTTGTTTTTCAACATTTTCTTGACAATTTTCATGAATTTTATTTCAAGATGAACCTTACGTAAGGGAACTTGTAGCCCAGACCCTTGTGGCATTGTAAGTAGCTTCTGAGTGGTGCCTCTCTCATGGGCCTCTTTGTGTTTCTCTGGCCAGAGTCCTTTGAATATCCCTAGGCTGGTGATCCTAAAGCTTGGGCTTCTCCATCTCTTTCCAATCCACATGTTTGGAACATGTTTTGTTTTTTTCTTTTCGGAAGCTATAGGACCTCCTTCTTTTAGTCTCTAAAGACCCAAGAGAAGTTAAACCTTAAAGCTTTTGTATTATCTATTTCTGTGTAGCCAATTACCGCCAAATGTAGCAGTTTAAAACAATACATGTTTACCATCTCATAGTTTCTGAAGGTCAGGAATCAAGGGCACTTTAGCTGGGTTGCTCTGAGTTTCCCATAAGGTGGCTGTCAGAATGTTGGCAGGGCTGGAGTCAGCTGAAAGCTTGCCTGCGCTAGAGGCTCCGCTTCCAAGCTCACTCACATGGCTGTTGGCAAGAGGCATCAGTTCCTCACCACAGGAGCCTCTTCATAAGGCTGCTCAGGACATGCCACCTGGCTTCTCTCATAGTGGGTGAGCTGAGAGAGAGACCACGACAGATGCTGCAGTATCTCTTATAGCCTATCTCAGAAGTGGCATACCATTACTTGTAACATACTTTTTGGTTTATACATTCTGTGATATGGAGAGGGAGGCAGCTAGACAAGGATGTGAATACCAAGAGGTAGAGATTATTGGGGGGCAACTTGGAGGCTGGCTACCAAAGTCTTTGTTGGTAAATCTTGTGGGATTTTTTTGGTTTTGATTTTTTGTTGTTGTTGTTAAAACATGCTTCAAAATTAAGAAATTATAAAAGGTGTGTGATGACAAGTCTTCCACCCCTGACCCCTAGTTACCCAGTTCCCTTTCTTCCAGCCAACAATTATTTTTAACATCTTTATTATACTTCCAGGGGGATTTTATACTGATACAAGGAAATGTACATAATATTTTTCCTCTTTTAACATGAATGATAGCATGCTGTACAGCTATTTTGCACCTTGCTTTCTTCACTTAATGATACAGCTTAAAATGGTTCCGAATTGGTGCATAATCATTTCCTTACCTTTTACAGCTGCATAGTATTTCACAGGGGTGTTGTAGCATGGTTTACTTACCCATTTTCCTATTTTTTGGTTATTCTAATTTTTGACTATTACAGTAACAATATGGATTATGTCCTGTGTGTGAGTAATATCCATGAAGTCAGTTCATGGAAGTGGAATTGCTGGTTCAAACATTAGTTTCAGTTATAGTTTTCATGGATAATTACCAAATTGCCCTCCCCATGGACTGTGCCAGTTCTCTTGGCAGCAGTATATGAGAATATCTATTTGCACATACTCTTACCTACACAGAGTATATATCAAACCTTTGAATCTTTGCTACTTTGAGAGACAATTATATCTGTGGTTTTAATTTGAATTCTTCTTATGAGTGAAATTGAACATCTTTTCATATACTTAAGAACCATTTGTATTTCCTTTTCTGTGGTCTGTTCATATTCTGTGCCTATTTGTCTGCTAGTGTTTTCCTTAGTAATCTGTAGGAACTCATTGTTAGAAATTTAGTCTTTTTTGGAGGGGTGGGGGAAAGTTGTTAATATATTTTACATATTTTTTAACATATAGGGTTATTATATGTTTTACTTTTTTATTGTTTTGAAACAATACAGTATCAAACTTTGAAAAAGTTGCAAGTGCAGTACTACAAACTTTTTTTAGTAGCAGTTGAGATTAAGTTGCTGACATGATGCTTCACCATCCCTATTTAGTGTATATTCCCTTCAGATACAAACATTCCACAAAGCCTTCTACATAATCATAGTACAGCCTTCAGAATCGTGAAACTAATACTAATGGTTTTATTATCACGCCTAGCAGTCTCTCTGCTTCTTTGACCCTAAAGGAGAGGAGCACACACTCTAGAGGTAGACTTCCTAGGTTCAAATTCCAGCTCTGGGCCTGGTGCGGTAGCTCACGCCTGTAATCCCAGCACTTTGGGAGGCCAAGGCGATGGATCACCTGAGGTCAGGAGTTCGACACCAGCCTGGCCAACATGGCAAAACCCCATGTCTACTAAAAATACAAAAAATTAGCCGGGTGTGGTGGCACGTGCCTGTAATCCCAGCTACTCGGGAGGCTGAGGCAGGAGAATCGACTGAACCTGGGAGGCAAAGATTGCAGTGAACCGAGATTGCACCACTGTACTCCAGCCTGGGCAACAAGAGCAAAACTCCATCTCAAAAAAATAAATAAATAAATAAATAAATAAATAAATAAATAAATAAATAAAAATTCCAGCTCTGCCACTCACTAGTTGTAGGTCTTTTGGCAAGTCACTCAATCCTACTATGCCTCAATTTCCTTATCTCTTACAAAGGATGTAATAATCATGCCTCCTTTGTAGGTCATTGTGAAGATTAGATGGTTAATGCTTAGAATAGTGGTTGCTGCAATGTGAAAACCATGTTGGTGTTCCTATCATAATAATATTATTAGATGAAGAATAGTTGATAAGATTAAGTTTTAATGTTTTCTAGTAGCCATGGATGAGGTTATCAGAGTTCATAGACTACAATGTAAACTACAAATTGTTCAGCTAATCCAGGATATACTTTTGTTCTTCTCTTTTTAGATTCCAGAATGACTATCTTGACTTACCCCTTTAAAAATCTTCCCACTGCATCAAAATGGGCCCTCAGATTTTGTAAGTTTATTATTATTTTTTTATTTTTAGAGATTGGATTTGGATTTATAAACATCTCGCACAGATACTGAATGGTATTGCTTTTTGTAAACAGTTTATTTTGTCTTCCAGCCATAAGACCTCTGAGCTGTTCCTCCCAGCTACGAGCTGCCCCAGGTACAGTAATTTGTAAAATAAATATTTCTGATTTAAATGTTAGATTCCAGATTCTATAGTTTGTGAACTCTGAATAAAAACCAAAACTAATTTGCTAATTCTCCCCTTTTTATGAGCACATGAACATCTCTGTTGCCTTCAAATTAAAAAATTATAGGTCCAATCAATAATGATACTACATTATTTAGGATTAGGCTTGAGGATGTTAATGGGAGGCTGTTTTCTGGGATTTGAACCTGCTGGAGTCATGGAGGTTCCATAAACCTCGTTGGTCAGTTTATTTATCCTCTTGCTGTCCGTCCTGGAGGTGAATGGCATACAAATGCTCTTGAGACCTGCTATGGAACCAAAAGTTAACTTTAAATTTGCAATTTGTGAAATGCTTCTCTATTGATGAATATCTTCTTCTCCCATGTGCAAGAGGGCCCATTCCTGAAATAGAAGTGATTAGGAACTAGTTAATAACAGAAAGTTGTTTAGTTAATATGAAATGAAAGAGTAAGGAAATGTGTTGATTTTATATGGTCATTTACACCCTTAGTAAACCCAATGAATTAGGCTTCTTTACTGCAGATTTTTGTAGAATCTGCTGTAGGTTTTTATCTTCACTGGCTAGTGCTAAAAACACCCTGACAAATTCTTAACATTTTTCTCCTTGCCTAGATTCTGTATTGACCCATGCCTTTGATTTTGGTTTTATTATGGTATTTCTACCTGTATAATAATAGAAAAAATACCTTCCAGGCTGGGTGCGGGGGCTCACGCCTGTAATCCCAGCACTTTGGGAGGCTGAGGCAGGTGGATGGCCTGAGGTCAGGAGTTTGAGACCAGCTTGGTCAACATGGCGAAACCCCATCTCTACTAAAAATACAAAAATTAGCTGGGCATGGTGGCATACGCCTGTAGTCCCAGCTACTTGGGAGGCTGAGACACGAGAATCTTTGAACCCAGGAGGCGGAGCTTGCAGTGAGCCGAGGTCACACCACTGCACTCCAGCCTGGGTGACAGAGCGAGACTCCGGCTCAAAAAAAAAAAAAAAAGAAAGAAAGAAAAAATCCTGGGATTTGGTTCCCAGGATTCAGAAGACCTGTACTCTCTTCCAGCTCTACCTCTTTCTGGGCAGTGTGGCCTTGAACTGGTCACTTTACTTCCCTGTGCTTGGTTTCTTCATCTAAAAAAGGAATATATAATAAGTCTAGTCTTGTCAGCCTCATATAGTTATGAGATATCTCAAAGCACTTTAAAAACTATAAATTCACTGTAAGTGCAAGATGGTATTTTTCTATTATTGCCTAATCCCAACTAGAGAAGTTTCATATTGTCATATAACAAATATATTTCCTGTGGCCTTTACATTCTAACTAGAATATAGGTTTGTAGTAGCCCCATAAATAATTCCTGTCTGTCTTGTTTTGCCTTTTCCCTAATTCTAATGTTGACCCAGGTCTTTGCTTTGCAAAGTCACACAAATAGACCTGATCCTTGCCAAGTGGGAGAAGGTCATTCTGAATACCAGCAGAGGAAACCAAGTATCTGGTGTTTAAACTATTCCTTATATTGCTCTGTAACTGTTTCTGATGTTTGTGTCTCCCCAACTGTATTGTAAGCCCTGTGAGTCTTTAGCTTTTTGGTATCCCCAGTGTATAACATGGTGTTCCGCAAATATAACAGTGTCCCACAAGTAACTTGCATTAACGCTGATGATGATAGTGGTACCAGAAGGCACGTGATAAAACAATGGGAAGTGGCCAGCTGATTTGAGGGAGGAAGCAGGCATGTGCCTGTGCTGAGCAGGTTTTAGGTTGCAGTAATTTTTTTTTTGTTTTAACTGGCATTCTGGTTTGAAGATTGCAGTAATTTTATAACTAATTCCTCTTGAAGCTTGTGTGAATATCTCTTCTTGACAGAGCTGTTAGGATGAAGGAATTAAAATAGAGGGGTACAGAATTTATGGATGTTTTTAGTCATCTGATGGACTGGAAATGTAAGTGTCTGATGGAAATTTTGACTGATTTGATGGTTATGTCTATGTATAGATGTCTTTCTCTCTGTGTATATATATATATATATATACACACACACGTGTATAATAGTTGTATAATACATGACACATTTATTATCTTCTTTGATTTTAATTGTTTTTAAAGAGTATACAATGTATATCAGTCAGCCATTGAATTGTAGGTTTTGGAGTTGGTTAGAGCCTTTGAGGTCATCTAGTTCAGCTCTAATATTTGCAAATAAGAAAATCGTGGCAGAGTAGGCCTACAACCCAGATATTTTAGCTCTCAATTCAGATTCTTATAATTCATTACTGCTGTGTGCCCAGAGCACTGTAGAATATATAAAATGGAGCTGTATTGTCTTGAGAAAATTTTGATGTGCTTAGGAGCCAGTGTGCACATGAAGCAGAATGAGAGTCCTTAGGTGACTATTGAATACATAATTGGCCATTATTAGAAAGGGGTCATATGGTAGTTTTCTGCTGTGGCCTCAATCAGTCCTCTCGTAAATGTGCTAGTGGCTCTGTTTTCTCTAATGCTTTTTCTTATTTATTTATAAGTGTTGAAAGTAATGGGTTCATGTACCTGATTGCCTTGTTGATCTTGCGTCACTGGGAAGGCTAAGAGCTCCCCTTCTTTTTTTTTTTTTTTCTTTTTTTTTGAGACAGAGTCTCGTGCTGTCGCCCAGGCTGGAGTGCAGTGGCACAGTCTCGGCTCACTGCAAGCTCTGCCTCCCAGGTTCATGCCATTCTCCTGCCTCAGCCTCTTGAGTAGCTGGGACTACAGGTGCCCGCCAACACACCTGGCTAATTTTTTGTACTTTTAGTAGAGATGGGGTGTCACCGTGTTAGCCAGGATGGTCTCGATCTCCTGACCTCGTGATCTGCCCACCTCGGCCTCCCAAAGTGCTGGGATTACAGGCATGAGCCACCACACCCGGCCAAGAGCTCCCCTTCTAATGCTGCTTGCCTAAGACAGGGTCCCATAACTGTAGTATATCCATTGTCTTCTTCCCAGTTTATTGGGGGAGGGGGCTCAGGAAAAACCTCTGTCTCCTCTGTGGCACCTTTACCCAGTAACGGCGGGGCTGAGGGAGGAGGAGGTGGTAAGGTAGGTGATGGTTCCTCTTCGCTTCTCTTTTTAGGCTCTTCTGTGTAGAGCAGGGCCAAAGCAGCCCTAACTAAGGCCCACAACGTTAAAGATGTTACTGGGACCTGTTGCCCTTGTGCATGATGTCATTTAAGATTTCTTCCCACTTGTGGCTGGGCGTGATGGCTCACACCTGTAATCCCAGCACTTTGGGAGGCTGAGGCAGGCGGATCACGAGGTCAAGAGATGGAGACCATCCTGGCAAACACAGTGAAACCCTGTCTCTACTAAAAATACAAAAAATTAGCCGGGCGTGGTGGCGGGCGCCTGTAATCCCAGCTACTTGGGAGGCTGAGGCAGAAGCATGGTGTGAACCCTGGAGGCAGAGCTTGCAGTGAGCCGAGATCGTGCCACTGTACTCTAGCCTGGGGACAGAGCAAGACTCTGTCTCAAAAAAAAAAAGATTTCTTCCAACTTGTTCCCAGAACTCTAGGTCTAGTGTGCCTTCTTCTGGGAACCGTGGGTTATGGAAAACAACAGTTTGCATTAGGTCCCTTAACTGAGCCTCCGAAACGGAGGCTGTGCTAGCTTCAAGCAGCTGTTTCAATACTTTTATGTACTGTTGCTGTTGAGCTGATAACTCAAGTCCCATTGTTACGGGTGGGCCTTTGTTCTTAGAGCTCCCAAGATGGGGCAGGCGGCTCCCAAGATGGCGGCAAGCCTTTTTTTCTCTGACCTGAGGCTCTTGGCCTCATGGATTCCAAGGAATGGAACCTTGGGCCATGCAGTGAGTGTTATAGCTCTATTAGAAGCCATGGGTCATGGAAGAGAATCGTGGAACCCAGCGACTAGCGTTGAGCTCGATTAGGACGAACCTGGGCACTTGGCCGCACAGAAACAATGGCGAGCCTCTAGCCCAAACAGGAATGGCACTGGGTGCCTCGCTGGATCAGAAACGCAGCGGACACCCTGCCAGATCCGAGGGGTGGAAGTCAACAGCGGGTCTGCGACAGTGGCGAACAGCGGGTCTGTGACAGTGGCGAACAGCAGTGGTGGAAGGTGAGCAAAAGCTCAGCTCGAGCCAGAACAAACATGGACCAGAAGAGTGTGCAGTTGCAAGATTTAATAAAGTGAAAACAGAGCTGCTATACAAGGGTAGGGGATCCAAAGGGGGTTGCCCCTCCTTGCTCAAATGCCTGGGGTTTATATCCCAATCATTGTCGCTCCCCCTGTGCTCTCAGATGATAGATGATTTGAGTATTTCTTTACCTCCTGCTTTTAACCTAATTGATATTTTAGTGAGCCTTCTTTACCACCTGATTGGTCGAGTGTGAGCTGAGTTACAAGCCCCGTGTTTAAAGGTGGGTGCAGTCACCTTCCCCAGCTAGGCTTAGGAATTCTTAGTCGGCCTAGGAAATCCAGCTAGTCCTGCCTCTCACCATGATGAAACCCTCTCACCATGATGAAACCCTAGCTTGAACATCATGTCCCATGATGAAACCCTAGCTTGAAAATCCCCTCGAACTTGGAAATCCTGAGTGGGCACCAATTACTTACTGCACGGTCACTTCACTTTCATTTTCAAGGGTTCTGTCGTGATCCATTGCAGCATGTCTCACACGGGGCACCACCTGCCGGGTCTGTCCCACAGACCCTGGCTGACTGACAGATGAAATGAGTACTCAGACACAGGTATGCAGTGTAAGAGCAGCTAGGGGTCTGCCTGGCTCTAGTGGCCAAAGTGCAGCAGCCCTGAGAAGCTGGAGCTCCTTGCTTTTATTCAGTGTAGGCACAGTGATGAAAGCCTGGAGCAAACACAATCTGTGGGTAATTAACGTTTATTTCTCCCCTTCCAGGAACGTCTTGCATGGATGATCAAAGATCAGCTCCTGGTCAACATAAATAAGCTAGTTTAAGATACGTTCCCCTACACTCCCTTGTACCTACTCCTTGCCCTCTGCCTCAGGGTTATAGAACAGCTGCCTTCAGCTATTCTCCCCCAGGGCTCTGCAGAACCTTCTGACCTTTTAGAAGGCCTGCATCTTTCCCTATAGTTTCTCCCACCACTCCGACTGATCTCCTACATATAATAATGAATATTTTTTAAATGTGCCTTGTAGAGTTAGTTTAATTACTTTATAATATGCTAAATTATTTGGAATGGCCAGTGTGCCCTAGAGGTTGCCCAGAGGTTTAGAGGCAGGAATCATCAGTAACTGTAGTTATCAGGGAAGGCTTTACTAGGAGGTAGAATGTGAACGAGGCCCAAGAGACAGGTAAGAATTCGATGGGCAAAAAAGGGGCCAGGCAGATGGGAGGTCCATAAGTAAAGGCAAGGAGGCTGACCTGAGCAAAGCTGTAAAGGACTGGGGGCTGGCTCATCTTGTTCTATTTTGAGAAGTAGTGGAAAATACTTAAGGTGGAACCGAGTAAAACAAGCTATTTGTTAGAAGAGTTAAGAATTTGAATTTTATCTGAAAGTATATAAAAGGAATATATGGTCAGTTTTTTCTGGTTTTTTTTTTTTTTTTTTGAGGCAGAGTCTTGCTCTGTCACCCAGGCTGGAGTGCAGTGGCATGATCTCAGCTTACGGCAACCTCCACCTCCTGTGTTCAAGCCATTCTCCTGCCTCAGCCTCCCCAGTAGCTGGGATTATAGGAGCGTACCACCGTGCCCAGCTAATTTTTGTATTTTTAGTAGAGACGGGGTTTCACCATGTTGGCCAGGCTGGTCTTGAACTCCTGACCTCAAATGATCTGCCTGCCTCAGCCTCCCAAAGCGGTGAGATTACAGCGTGAGCCAGCACGCCTGGCTTGGTTAGTTTTTAAAATGTGGAATGACATGATGGTGTACCATTCGACCTGTCACCTGCAAGGTCAGTCATGAATAGTGTGCAAATCTTCAAATTTAGTGACCTGTTTTCTGTCTGCTCAAATAAGGATTTTCCTTGAGGACCGATGCATTTAACCATCTTGTTCTCCTTGACACTCTCCTGCCTTTGATCTTGTGTACTGTTCTCTCTTGATTCTCCTACTACCTCTCAAGTTACTGTTTGTCTCACATATTCCCTCAGCCTTCTCATTGTAGGGACATCACAAAGCTAAGGGTTTTTTGGTGTAGTAATGGACCCTCAAGTTAAGGATGAGAAGGTTTGTGTGTACTACAGCTGGAAAGGTGTTAGGAACCAAGCAAGCAGCTCTAGGGGCCAGCTACTTTGTCTCACACACCACATGGTATGTCCCTTTCCTGGTCTTTCTGCTTCTATCATTCTTCATTCTGGCTGGCTTATTTGCTCACTTATGGTTTACAAACTCTGGCTTACGAATGACATCAGTTTACCATCAACCTGTTCTTCCTCATGGCATCTTTTTAGCTTCAACTAATTGGCATTTCTTTCCATGCTTCTTTGCCTAGAGAGAGAATCTGACCAACACAGTTGATCACTTGTAGGTAGATGACACTGGTTTCTGGTTGGCTCCTATATGGATGGATCATTGGTGAGTCCAGTACCTACTCTGAATCTAATCAGCTTTTATATTGACTTAGGGATGTGTCTATGGCTTCCCCTTTGGCAGGGACTGTAAGCAGGGCAACTCCCTTTAGAGGGGCCTGTGGGATGTCCAAAACAACAACAACACAACAAATACCCCCCCCCCATCCAGACAAACAAAAAAAGTATCTTTTATTGTTAAAGAGGAAATAGGAAATTTAAAAATAAAAGAAATAGAGGGGGCTGTGGGAGAACAGGCATTGCAGAATACATCTCTGCTTTCCTTCTGTATTCTAAGCTTCAATATTTCATGACTTTCTAATCTACACTCATTTCTCTTCAGAGGTTTTGCTTTGCATCTTCTAGCTAACTGTGGAATTAACATATCCACCTGGTTGTCTCTCTGTCACCTCAAAGTTAGCGAGTTTAAAAATGAGGCCAGGCGCAGTGCCTTATGCCGGTAATCCCAACACTTTGGGAAGCCAAGGCTGGCGGATCACTTGAGGTCAGGAGTTCAAGACCAGCCTGGCAAACAAGGTAAAACCCCATCTTTACTAAAAATATAAAAACTAGCCAGGTGTGGTGTCGTGTGCCTGTAATCCCAACTGCTTGGGAGGCTGAGGCAGGAGAATTGCTTGAACCTGGGAAGTGGAGGTTGCAGTTAGCCGAGATCGTGCCACAGCACTCCAGCCTTGGCGACAGAGCAAGGCATCATCTCAAAAAAAAAAAATTAAGTCCCCTTTTTTTTCCAAAACCAGTTCTCACTTTGTTTCGGGTAGCTAGGTATTCTTAGTCTCTAAGATTCCTTTATAATCCTGTTTTCCTCTTTCCTTTCTTTCTATATCTGATTGGTTGCCAACATACCTTGTTTTCTTTTATAAACTTCCTCTTTACTCATGTTGATACTGCCTTTATCCTGGCCTTTTGTGCCACATGCTTGGGTTTGCCACAGTCTCTTTGCTTACCTCCTTGTTGCCTTTATCTCCTTCACCAGCAGCACTTCTCCATGAATGCTGCCAGCGTCATCTTTATGCCCTATTTTATCATGACTATTAACTCTCACTAATATTTCTTTAAAGTTGGTTGTAGATGTTTACTATAAATACTTCTCTGTGACATTAACAGGTGTGGTAAGGTCGTTGTTGACATTGTATTCCCAATAATTTAGGATTTTTTTCTATCTTTGATAAGGAATAATGATAGAGTAGGTAAATTCCAACATTAACAAAAACAAGAAAATAATGAACTAGATTTTGATATACTAACATGGAATGTTCTTCGAGCTATATTGTTAAGCCAATAAAATATACATAATATACAAGTATATGCATGTAAGTGCACTAAAAGAAACGATTTGAAAGTATATACACCAAATAAACAGACTTTACCTCTTAGAAGAAAATAGTGTGGTAGGCGAAGGCATAAAGAGGGAACTTTAGTTTTTACTCTCCATAGTTCAGTATTATTTACTTTTTAAAAAAAACCATAGGCACACATTTATATTTTATTCTTTAATTTAAGAAACCTAAAGGAAGTTTGCTTTTTTGAGATTAAAAAGTATTTAGGCATGTAGATTTTTGCAGAATAGCAAGTCACCAACCAAGTGCCCCTTATTTCCACGTAGAAAAGGTAAGAACATCAAGCTATGTGAAGAGTGAACAATATCAATCATTGCAACTTCTAATATTAAGGGTAGATTTGCGTGTAAATTTGGTTACTTCTAATGAAATAGGTTGTCAAACACTTAGTAAAAATGAACTATTTTGTTAATGGCATAAATTCCCTCATCATTGGATATAAGCTTTGTTTATCTTAAATATTATTTAGAAACTTACAAATGCTAGTCAATTTCTTAGCCTTTTTTTAAAAAAAAATTAAAGTGGTTTAGTAAATGGCAAATGCAAGTTGGCATTAATGATGTAATAATTCTTAGAATGACTATCTTAAAAAATGTAAAAGTAGGCCAGGCACGGTAGCTCACATCTGTAATCCCAGCAGTTTGGGAGGCTGAGGCGGGCAGATCACCTGAGGTCAGGAGTTTGAGACCAGTCTGGCCAACATGGTGAAACCCCATCTCTACAAAAATACAAAAATTAGCTGGGCATGATGGCAGGTGCCTGTAATCCCAGCTACTCAGGAGGTTGAGGCAGGAGAATTGCTTGAATCCGGGAGGCAGAGGTTGCAGTGAGCCGAGATCACGCCATTGCACTCCAGCCTGGGTGACAGAGCGAGACTCCATCTTAAAAAAAAAAAAAAAAAGTAAAAGTCATCAGACTTTATATATTTTAATTAGTAGTTTTTGTTTTTAAACTTTATCTTAAAGCTGTCCAGACCAAAACGAAGAAGACGTTAGCCAAACCCAATATAAGGAATGTTGTGGTGGTGGATGGTGTTCGCACTCCATTTTTGCTGTCTGGCACTTCGTAAGTATGACATGATCATATTATTTTTTTCCTTCTTTTAAGACACTTTCAAAAGTAGTCTTTGTAAATGTAACCCAGTAGGTAATAATATTGTTAGTGGACTAATATTTGGATAGCAGTCCCATGAAATTAATATAGAATAAGTCAAGACAGTGGTGAAATAATATGGCAACATTTGTTTTTTATCCTTCTCATGAATAAGTCTAGCGTAGTTTTACTTGAAACAGCTCTATTTTGAAAACCTAGAGGTCCAGATAGCTTGCTTCCAACAGAGCTGTCCTTTCCTTTTCTGGAGACAAGTACATTGTCCCTGTTTCTCCTCAGAAGTTTGAGTGCTGAAGATGTGGGCCATGGGCATTCTGAAGGGCCTATATAATCCACTGGTTTGGCCTCCTGGAAATTATTAAAATTGGAGTTGATAGGGCTGGTCCAAACCCCCAGCATAGCACAACCCCAAGTGTGTGGGACCAGAATGGTCCTAGACCAGCTCCAGAATTCCCTAGATCCAAATTGCTCTTCTCCTTGGCCTTTTGTGCTTCTTTTCTGTCCCCGAGTGAAGGTTAGTCTATCCAAAAGCTGATAATGGACTTTGATAACAAGGTTTAAACTGTTCATTCTATTCTGTTTAGATTGTTTTAATGTTTATATTTTGAATAGGTAGTTGCCAGCTTTAAAAAAATGCTGCGGAATGTTAGGCATCTGTTAAAAAGAATGAGACCTATCTTTATATACTAATATGGAAGACCTAAGATCTTGAAGATATGTTAAGTATAAAAAGCAAGGTTCAGGCTGGGTGCAGTGGCTCACACCTGTAATCCCAGCACTTTGGGAGGCCAAGGCAAGAGGATTACTTGAGCCCAGGAGTTCAAGACCAGCCTGGGTAACATAGCAAGACCTTGTCTCTGCAGAAAATAAAAAATATTAGCTGGGCATGGTGGTACATACCTGTAGTCCCAGCTACTCAGGAGGCTGAGGTGGGAGGATCACTTGAGCCTGGGAGGTCAAGGCTGCAGTGAGCCGTGATCATGCTACTACCTATACTCCAGCCTGGGTGACAGAGCAAGACTCCATCTCAAAAAAAAAAAAAAAAAAAAGCAAGGTGCACAGTATTGTGTATAGTGTGCAATGACTTATGAAAGATACACATGTGTGTGTGTATGTGTGTATACACACACAACAAAGGTTCATTTTTAAACAGATGGTTTGGGACCTACAAATATATTTTCTTACAGAAGTAATGCTATATGTTGGCCAGGCACGTGGCTCATGCCTGTAATCCCAGCACTTTGGAAGGCTAAGGTGGGTGGATCACTTGAGGCCAGGAGTTCATGGCAAAACCCTGTCTCTACTAAATACAAAAATTAGCTGGGTGTAGTGGTATGCACCTCTAGTCCCAGCTACTCGAGACACTAAGGCATGAGAATCTCATGAACCCAAGAGGTGGAGGTTGCAGTGAGCCAAGATCATGCCACTGTACTCCAGCCTGGGCAACACAGCGAGACCCTGTTTCAAAAAAAAAAAAAAAGAAGAAGAAGTAATGCTATAAGTAAATGGTAGTGACGTTTCTTTATTCATCCTATTTTATCAATATAGTAATCCACTTAACGATGTTTCTATAATCTCTTTCCTGTACTGACACAACAGTAAAAGTAAGAATCAGAAGGCTTTAGCAGCAGGAAGAAGATGATGTCCTCCTTTTACTCAGCAGCAATAAAATAGAAAAAGTTCCATCAAGACATGAAAGTTCTTGGCTAGGAAGACTTTTTTTGTAAGGATCATTATATATTATGTAGGTGTTTGATACTGTTTTACTAGCTGTTAAAAAATACAAACAGGCCAGGTTCAGTGGCTCACACCTGTAATCCCAACACTTTGGGAGGCCAAGGCAGGTGGATCACCTGAGGTTAGGAGTTTGAGACCAGCCCGGCCAATATGGCAAAACCCCATCTCTACTAAAAATACAAAAATTAGCTAGGTGTGGTGGTGCATGCCTGTAGTCCCAGCTACTTGGGAGGCTGAGGCAGGAGAATCACTTGAACCTGGGAGGTGGAGGTTGTGATGAGCTGAGATTGTGCCACTGTACTCCAGCCTGGGTGACAGAGCAAAACTCCATCTCAAAACAACAACAACAACAACAACAACAAAACACCCAAACATACTCAACTGTTTCATTTACTTTTATTAAACATTTGATGATTAGTATTTGCATGAAGTTTAATTTGAGGTATTTACCAAATTGGCATAGGGTTGTTCCTTTCTTTGTTGTGTATTGTGTTTTAGTTTAATTCAGGATTCTGGTTCATGAGCAATCTAGTGGTACAGAGAAGAGAAAAACATTGAGTAATGTAAGAAATGATAGTGAATAGGGAAGAAAGAATCAAAAGTATTTTAAGGCAATATTCATGTAAAGAACAAAAGTCACTAAAAAATAACATTAGAGGCCAGGTGCAGTGGCTCACACCTATAATTCCAGCGCTTTGGGAGGCGGAGGCGGGAGGATCATTCAAGGCCAGGAGTTTGAGACTGGCTTGAGCAACATATGAGCAACATAACTAGACACCTATCCCCAACGCCTCCTCACCCCCTACCTCCCAGTCCTATCTCTACAAAAAAAAGAAAAAAAAAAAGGTGTTTTAATTAGCCAGGCATGGTGGTGCATGCCCCTAGTCCTAGCTACTTGGGAGGCTGGGGCGGGAGGATTGCTTAAGCCTAGGAGTTTGAGGCTGCAGTGGGCTATGAACGTATATGAGCTATGCTATTGCACTTCAACCTGGGTGACAGAGCCAGACCTTGTCTCTTAAAAAAAAATTAATAATAATAACATAGAGGGAAAATGTATAAGGACAACAATTTTTACATTATTGATGTTAGGATTGAAGTACCAAATGAGTCTTCTGTAATAGAAGATCATTTTCTAAGTGGAAAAAGTCTTTTTCTGTTTAATTTGCAGAAACGTTGCTTTCAACTTGAGTGTTATTTGGAAGGCCAGGTTCTTATGGGTAGGGGCATTTGGGAAGCACTCCCGGGAATAGACTCTAGCAGTGGAATTCAGAAGTCTGTCAATCATTCAGGTAGAGGAGTGTGAGAGTATGAGAATAAAGATTGTAAATGATAAGTTGGCTGGGCGCAGTGGCTCACGTCTGTAATCCCAGCACTTTGGGAGGCTGAGGCGGGCGGATCACCTGAGGTCAGGTGTTTGAGACCAGCCTGGCCAACATGGCGAGACCCTATCTCTACTAAAAATACAAAAATTAGCCAGGCATGGTGGCGTGCACCTGTAATCCCAGCTACTTGGGAGGCTGAGGTGGGAGACTATCTTGAGCCCAGGAAGCACGTTGCACCACTGCACTCCAGCCCTCCAGCCTTGGTGATGGAGTGAGACACTCTCTCTCAAAAAAAAAAAAAAAAAAAAAAAGGATTGTAAATGATAAATAATTTATGGCTTAGGCATTTTCAAATTGACACATGACTTTTCCCCAAATAATTCTGTCCTAAATTTGAGGAAACTGGATTTACCTATGAAAAATTTGGAAAACTACTCATGGTTCTCCTGTGATTCTGAGTGAAAATGACAGTAAAAATATTTTGGAGTTTTTAAGTTTTAATTTTCAGGGACTTGAAGAATGAATCTTCTTATTTAATCCAATGATTAAATCTCTGACTTAAAAATAAAGAGAATTTATTTTTGATCTTTAAACAAACAAACAAATAAATAGAGTTCATACCCAGATCTTGGTTTCTAAATAGCAGTCTTCAATACAAAGAACCAGAGCTCCTTTGAAGAATGATTAGGGCTGAGCCAGAGAAAAGACAGGATGAGCAAGGAGAACTTGTAGTGCCGGAAAGCAAAGAAGTACTTAAAAAAAAGAGGGGTTCAGGGGGTCATGTCAAAAAGACACAGGTCTGACCTGCAGGAGCTACCGGTCACCAAAACTGCAATGATTTGAGCAATAAAATAAATTGCAATAGTATTGGAACATAACCCAAAGAATAAAACAAATGCCTACGAGTCTAATCTGATATAAATAAGTGAATAAATAAATACACATTGGGAGGCCAAGGTGAATGGATCGCTTGAGGTCAGGAGTTCGAGACCAGCCTGGCCAACATGGTGAAACCCCTTCTCTACTAAAAATACAAAAATTAGCTGGATTTGGTGGCAGGCGCCTATAATCCCAGCTACTCAGGAGGCTGAGGCAGGAGAATCGATTGAACCCGGGAGGCAGAGGTTGCGGTGAGCCGACATCGTGCCACTGCACTCCAGCCTGGGCAACAGAGTGAGACTCTGTCTCAAAAAAAAAAAAAAAAAAGAGTAAATAAATGAGAAAGAATGAACAAGTCTTCCTTACAGAAGAATTTTGATTAATAAATATAGGAGGACTGTGTACAGTGGTTCACACATGTAATCCCAGCACTTTGGGAGGCTGAGGTAGGAGGATTGCTTGAGGCCAGGAGTTCGAGACCGGCATGGACAAAGTGAGACTCCATCTCTGCAAAAACTAAAAATGAAAAATTAGCTGGGTGTGGTAGCAGACACCGGTAGTCCTACCTACAAGGGAGGCCGAAGTGGGAAGATTGCTTGAGCCCATGAGTTTGAGGCTGCAGTGACCTGTGATTGCACCACTGCATTCCAGTCTGAGTGACAGAGTGAGACCCTATCTCAAAAAATAAAAATAAATAAAGAATGAGAAAAATAACCATTAGAATACCACATAATACTTGCTGCGAGATCTACAAATGAATGCTAAAATTAGGTGAAATGCTAAGAAGAAACAGAATATTTGCATAGTCTCAGAGAATCTCCCCCAAAATATTTATCAATTACTATGATGATTTCGACATACGTCCGCAAAGTCTGTGTTATTCCTGCCACTGGAAGGTGGAACTTAATTCTCCCCTCAGAATGTGGGCTAGACTTAGTGACTCACTTCTAACAAATTGAGATAAGAAAGGAAAAAATAGTAACTTTATAGTGGAGTAAACTGGCAGACATCACTTGACCCAAATCATCACTTTAACATCACTGGTAGTAAGTCATGTTGATATCATGTGCCCCCTGATACGAAGCTAAGAGAAATACAGTTTACCTCTGTGATATTCTTCCCCTAAATCCATAACCCCAGTCTTCAAAAGTGTCAAGGTCATGAAAGACAAGGAAGACTGAGAAACTGTCACAAATTGGAGGAGACTGAGGAGGCATGACAACTAAATGCAACATGGTATCTTGGATTGAATCTTGGAACAGAAAAAGGACATTAGTGGAACAACTGGTGAGACTCAGATAGGTAGTAGCTTAGTGAATAGTATTGTGCCAATGTTCATTTCTTAGTTTTAATAAGTATATCATGGTTATGTAAGATGTCAGTATTAGAAAAAGCAGGGGAAGGCTGGGCGCGGTGACTCACGTCTGTAATCCCAGCACTTTGGGAGGCCAAGGCGGGCAAATCACCTGAGGTCAGGAGTTCAGGACCAGCGTGGCCAACATGGTGAAATCCCATCTCTACTAAAAATACAAAAAAATCAGCTGGGCGTGGTGGTGGGTGCCCGTAATCCCAGCTATTCGGGAAGCTGAGGCAGGAGAATTGCTTGAACCCTGGAGGTGGAGGTTGCAGTGAGCTGAGATTGCGCCATTGCACTTCAGCCTGGGCAACAAGAGCGAACCTCCGTCTTAAAAAAAAAAAAAAAACAGCAGGGGGAAAGAGGAACTCTGCTCTCTTTTTCCAATTCTTATTTATGTATTTACACAGGGTCTTGCTCTGCTGCCCAGACTGGAGTGCAGTGGTGTGATCCTAGCAGCCTCAAATTCATGGCCTTAAGCAGTCTTCTCACCTCAGCCTCCCAAGTAGCTAGGACTACAGATCCATGCCACCACGCCTGGCTAATTTTTAATATTTTTTGTAAGAGACAAGGTCTTGCTTGCTCTGTTACCCAGGCTGGTCTTGAACTCCTGGCCTCAAGTAGTCATATCACCTCAGCCTCCCAAAATGTTGGGATTCTAGGTGTGAGCCACCATGCTTGGCCTCTTTCCAATTCTTTGGTAAATCTCAAGTTACTTAAAAGCAAAAAGTTTCTTCAAAAGTCCTAATACATCACCTGTAGCCCTGTAGGCATTACAAAATAAATAAATAATATACTTTTAAAATAAAATGTTTAAAGGAAAAGAGACCTCAAAGGTGGGGCTTCACTTTAAAGAAAATTTAGCATATGTTATACTGAACATTAAGGTGTTGGACAACATTTTTGTTCGATTCTTAGCAAGCTCAGGAGGAGTTAAGGCTTGCTAGACTTTTAAGGATGACAAATAGCGAAGTCACACTATTTCTTCATTTGAAATGATGGACTGCCTTGGATAGTAAAGTTAAGTGTGTTTGTAGCAGCATGTGTTTGATGATCTCTGGGTATTTCAAATAGAATGAAAATTTTTCATTGAAGCTCTAGGGTTTTGGTTTAAATTACTGGTTTTCGTTCCCCAGATATAAAGACCTGATGCCACATGATTTGGCTAGAGCAGCGCTTACGTAAGTAAATGCAGTTTCATTTCCGTTCTTATTTCATTAAAGGCACTTTCTCCAGTTTTTACACATAAAATAGCAATTTGTTCTTATTTTAGCCATCTGTACTATACAAATTTAAGCAGCTTATGAATATTGTCAATCTTTATTTTGCAGGCCTAACAGTGTCTTAGCCTGACAGTATACTTTAATGCTACCTTAGCTAGCCACAGGACTCGATTGATCAGCCTAAACACAATACATATATTTGATGATTGCCTTAGGAACTTGTATAAGGGTAGCTGAACAGATTATGTAGATATTTACCTAGAAAGAAGCCTAAAAGACACCTGAAGATTCATGTGCAAACCAAGTAAAAATGTAAAATTAGATGTAGTTAAATAAGATTAGGCTGGATGAATAATTTGGTTGAGAATCATTAAATGTGTTGCTGTTTCATAACATGTAAGGCATTATCTCTTCATTTTCCACTGACACTTTGCCTTTGTGTCTTCAACCAGCCACAGTTCTTTCTTAGTTTGGAGAAACCCTTCAGTTGACCTTTCTGTCCATTCTAACTCTATGTTTGTTTTTTTTTTCTTCCTGCAATACCTCAAGCATGAGTGAAAGAGCAGTTGTTTCTGTTTCCTTATTATTAGTTTCCTCTGTCTAATTGTATAATCATTATTTCCATTTTCCCTTTGTTTTACAGAAACCATACTTTAGAATCTTCTCTTAATAATGGTTTTATGATTGCTCAATGTACTGATCCTTTCTCAGTCCTCTGTCTCTGTACTTTATAGCACTTGACACTGTAAGCTATAATCACCTCTCTTCTGTTGACTTCTTAGTAATATGCCTTTATGATTTTTCTTTTTCTTCTGTATCCTGACTGATTCTTCTGTAGCTTTTTTTTTTTTTTTTTTGAGACGGAGTCTCGCTCTGTCACCCAGGCTGGAGTGCAGTGGCGTGATTTCGGCTCACTGCAAGCTCTGCCTGCCGGGTTCACGCCATTCTCCTGCCTCAGCCTCCCGAGTACCTGGGACTACAGGCGCCTGCCACCATGCCCGGCTAATTTTTTTTTTCTTTTTTTTTTTTGTATTTTTAGTAGAGACGGGGTTTCACTGTGTTAGCCAGGATGGTGTCGATCTCCTGACCTCGTGATCCGCCCTCCTCGGCCTCCCAAAGTGCTGGGCTTACAGGTGTGAGCCACTGCGCCCGGCCGATTCTTCTCTAGCTTAAAAAAAAAAAACTGGGCCAAGCACGGTGGCTCACTCCTGTAATCCCAGCACTTTGGGAGGCTGAGGTGGGCAGATCACCTGAGGTCGGGAGTTCAAGACCAGCCTGACCAACATGGAGAAACCCCATCTCTACTAAAAATACAAAATTAGCTGGGCGTAGTAGCACATGCCTGTAATGCCAGCTACTTGGAAGGCTGAGGCAGGAGAATCCCTTGAACCTGGGAGGCAGAGGTTGCAGTGAGCCGAGATCACGCCATTGCACTCCAGCCTGGGCAACAAGAGCAAAACTCCGTCTCAAAAAATAAAAATAAAAAACCACACACACACACAACTGGATCTCTCCCTCTTTCTCTTTTTGAAAGGTGTTTTGCAAGTTTCATTCCTTAGAGCTTTGCATTTCTCTGTATGCATATTTTCCTTTAAAAATCTCATCTACTAGCTAGGCATGGTGTCTTACACCTATAATCCCAGCACTTTAGGAAACCAAGGCAGGAGGATCAAGGTAGGAGGATCTTTTGAGCCCAGGAGTTTGAGACCAGCCTAAGCAACATAGTAAGACTCCATCTCTACAAAAAAAAATTTTAAAAATTAGCCAACCAAGAGAATTCAGCTCAGGAGTTGAAGGTTGCAGTGAGCTATGATTCCACTACTAGACTCCAGGCAGGGCAATCGAGCAAGACTTTGTCTCAAAAAAAAAATTTTTTTTAAATTTTTAATTTATTTTTTTCTGTATGGAGTCTCACTCTGTCCAAGGCTGGAGTGCAGTTGCTTGATCATAGCTCACTGCAACCTCGAAGCCTCCCAGGTAACTGGGACTATAGGCGTAAGCCAATGTTTCTAACCCTCTTTTTAGTTTTTTTAATTGATAAAAAACTACAGATTTTACAGATTTTTATTTATTTATTTCATTGTAGCCAAGTTTAGTCATTACTCATTTTGAAGCTCAGCTTATTCCACATTTTATCTGGCACTCCTTCAAGTTGGCTCCTGTGTGCCTTTTGTTTTTTAGTATAATGCTGGTTGTTGATATATAATTTGCATGCAATAAAGTGCACAGATTTTAAGTGTATAGTTTGATGAGTTTTGACAAATGTATATACCCCGTGTTCCTGTTTTTGATATGGTCCCATTTGTCTTTTTTTTTTTTTTTTGACACAGAGTTTCGCTCTTGTTGCGCAAATTGGAGTGCAGTGGCACGATCTCGGCTCACTGCAGCCTCCGCCTCCCAGGTTCAAGCAATTCTCCTGCCTCAGCCTTCCGAGTAGCTGGAATTACAGGCACATGCCACCAGTCTTGGCTAATTTTTTTTGTATTTTTAGTAGAGACGGGGTTTTGCTGTGTTAGCCAGGCTGGTCTCGAACTCCTGTCCTCAAGTGATCCGCCTGCCTCGGCCTCCCAAAGTGCTAGGATTACAGGCTTAAACCACTGTGCCCGGCTGATATGGTCCCATTTGTCTTTGAGTGCTTCCTTACTTTTGGCACAAAAAAGATGGAAATTCACTTTGTACTTTCTTCTGGACCTGGTATCAGTCATTTCTTAAAAAACCTTTTGTCCTTTTAATGGGGAATGGCATTTAGAAACCAAATCTGGGGCCGGGTATAGTGGCTTACACCTATAATCCCAGCACTTTGGGAGGCCAAGGCTGGTGGATCACTTGCAGTCAGGAGTCCGAGACCAGCCTGGCTAACATGGTGAACCCTGTTTCTACTAAAAATACAAAAATAAGCCAGGCATCATGGCAGGCGCTTGTAGCCCCAGCTACTCAGGAGGCTGAGGTGAGAGAACCACTTAAACCCAGGAGGTGGAGGTTGCAGTGAGCCGAGATTGTGCCAGTACACTCCATCCAGCCTGGGTGAAAGGGCAAGATTCTTATCTCAAAAAAAAAAAAAGGAAACCAAGTCTGGGTTCAGGGAGTGCTCATTCCTACTGGAGTGTTATTGTGTCTAGTTTCTATTCATGGGCACAACTAGAATATATGTATTATTTCAATCATTTGTTGATACTGATATTTCAAACTAAAATTTAACATACCCAGGACTTCTTTTTTTTTAATTTTTTTTAATAGTCTTAAGGGAGACTTTGCTTTATCTCTTTGATTGAATATTTGTCTCTCTTTTTCACTGCAAACTTTGGTTTCTACTAACATTAATTAACATTAATTTATAGGTTTCTTATCTATTTTATTCTATTCCAAATTATTTTTTATTCTCTAACTTCTCATTACCAATTCAGCATCAAATGTTGACTTTTAAAATCACTCTTTCATTCATTTCTTCTTTGAGAAGGTGCCAAATGCTTGTCAAATTAAAGAAAAGATACAGTCTCTGTCCTTTTAAATTCAAGGCTAACCTTTTTCAAGGAGCGCAGTGTTTTGTGTGATGATCTCTGGCACTGCCTTGATGTGTGAAATGTTTCTTTGCTTTGGATTTCTACTTCCAGGGGTTTGTTGCATCGGACCAGTGTCCCTAAGGAAGTAGTTGATTATATCATCTTTGGTACAGTTATTCAGGAAGTGAAAACAAGCAATGTGGCTAGAGAGGTGAGTAAAACAAACTTTATGTTGTTTAAAGAGTGATAGGAGAATCACTTTGAATTTCAATTAATAGAAGTTACTTTACAAAAGCCTTTAAAATCTATTGAGTTACATTTGACCTAAAATGTGATTTTACAGCTTGGGTAATGTGTTATTTAATATGTAAAAGAATTCTAATATAAATCAAATGACATACACTATATTAGTGTATATCCATACTTTACTGTAAATCAAATAAATTATTTGAGCTGGTTTAGGACATTGTCTCTTGTGTTAGGAAAATAGAGATCAGCAAAGTGTGGCTGATAGTATTTTTAGTAATGTTAGATATCATGGCTTCCAATTAATTTAAAATTTCAACATGTTGCAGAGAACTAATTTCATAACTTGACTTTTGTTAGCTGGAAGTAGCCTTGCTTACTCATTTGTTCCCATCAACTAGATGGCACGTAAGGCAGCTTGGCTTTTTAAAAACTATTTCACAGGAGTTTACTTTTGCCCTAGTTGGCATAGCTCCATGTAGTGTCGATTGGGCAACCAAGATAATGACAGGCCTTGGAACTTCTAGGATGTGTCCTACAGGCAAATCCAAACACGTCTTCTGGGCTGTGTTTTCATTTAAAATCGATTGGATGAAGTTGGCACCAAAAGCACATTTCATTGTACTCAGTATTTTCCCTAGTTCTGGTCTGTGCTTGCCATATTGTTGGGTTCAGTATCACTGTCAACTGAGAGACAAGGGCACATGAGCAGGACTGAAAGTATTTGTTCTGTTCCACCTCTGTACCTGGCAGAAATGTTAGAACTGCCAAAGGCCTGGCATGACTGAAGCCTACGAAACTAACTGTGTGCTGTTGAGGGGCAGGAAGGAATTAACAATAGGAAGAGATTTTATTTCCCTTCTGAAATTTTTTGTTTTTCCTTGAACCTTGACATTTCTGAATGTTTCAAATATGATAATTTCATGAGTACATCAAGCTGCTCATAATACATTTTCAACTTTTATATTCTGAAAATAACCTATTACTTTTATAAGAGCACTTAAGATGTAAATAGTAAATTTTTTTGCTGTTTTCTCCTCTTGCTCAGCTTTTTATCCCATCCTTTCTTCCTTCTCCTCCTCCTCAAAAAATAAAAAAATAAATAAATAAAAATAAATGTTTCCATTTTCTCTGTAATTCAGTTCTTTTTTTCCTAAAACTAAAGCCATAATGTTTTCCTCTGAAATTTTTCCTGGAAATTTTACATCCATTTGCAGATCTCAGCTATTGATTGACAGGAGGTAGATTCCCTCTGCCTGCCCTGTACTAATACCAGTTATGTTGTGCTCCAGGTAATTTTTGCAGCATCTGCAGGGAGAGATTGGGTTGAGGGGGATACATTATGAGAATGTCACTCTAAAGCTGTATTGCAACCTAAAAGCTAACATAATTTCCAGCCAAAGAATTTCTTAGGCCCTATTGCCTGTATTAATAATGTTAATATACAGTCCTTGCAACCTAAAAGCTAACATAATTTTCAGCCAAAGAGTTTCTTAGGCCCTATTGCCTGTATTAATAATGTTAATATACAGTCCTAAAAGGCTCCTGGTGTTCATGAACCTGACTTTGTTGAAAGGTTCAGCATATTTCCCTGTTCTCCAGCTTAAAGACATCTTCCTCCTTTTCCCTTAGTGCCCTGAGAGCTATTCAAATTTCAATAGAAGTGTGTGGACAAGGGTCACCAATAGCCACCTCTATTTAAAGCTCCTTCCGTCCTGAGAGTCATCTAGGGCCAAGGGCAACACAAATTAGAAAGGCCCTTGTGAGAATCGAGCCATTGCAACCTAAGTGCCCCTTTTACACTTGCCCTTTGCAGAGCTCTTCCCTCCTGCCCCCCTGAGATACTTGCGTCTCTCTTCCTTTCGGATTGGTTTACGTTGAGAGGCTGATGCACAGGTGCCTGGCAGAAGTTCTCAACAAAGCAGGTTGGGCATTTAGTATCAGGCCTACCTGGAAAGACCAGAATGAGGTCATGTTGCAGTTACATCACTAACACATTTCTGTTTCTATAGATTATGGTAAATAGCATAAAAGTAAGTAAGTATAAAGGTAAAAATCAGTTAAGAGACATTGAATTTCTAATTGAGACTTTGGAAACATTTATTTTACTAAATTATAGGAGAGTGTGTTCTGAGGATAATTAATAGTTTCAGGGAAAGAATACTAAAAATGAATTCCCTATAATGGGATCCAGTATTTCATAGTAAATATTGTGTGGGTGTGTATGTGGGAGGAAATCTGGAAGCTTTATTTCTAAAGTAAAACTTTAATATTATAAAAATAAGTATTTTATAATTGCACCTGTGCATTAATTATTTACATAAACAAAAATGGAATCAGACGTTGATTGGTTTTTGACAGCATAATTTCCCCCAATAAATAGTATAATAAAATTATAGATGTGCTCATTTCATGTTTGACTTTCACTGTGCCATTATAATAGAGGCCATTTTTAAAAGATTAATAATGACCTCAGTTTTTCTTAAAGCCGCTCAGATGACAAATTATTCTCTTTGTATCACGTATTATGCCATCATCCTGGCCACTTGTTAGTTGGTCTGACCCTTATTTGTTCACAGACTCACTTGTAACTCAGGCAATTCTCCAGTTTCTTTCATTGAGTTGAGCTTCTGTATAGTTGGCAAGTTTTCCAGTTCATCTTTGCATTGGGTCTGCAGTGTGCTATCTGAAGTATCAGACGGTCAGTAAGAGAAACCAGCTGGCAGTGAGCAGAAAGATAGGTGTAAAGCAGACAGGGTCTTGAGTGGGAACTCTGTTTATGAAGGGTCAGTTCTTTAGAAATCATTTTCATGTTTAATCACTTTTGCTTTGCTGCTAAGCTTTGTGACTGATCATGAGACCTGATAACACAGATAGTGAGGACTCCACCCCATAATATATTTCATCATCATTCCAGCAACTGTCTTTAATAGGTTCTTTTAAGTATATTTGAACATTAAACAAGTTAAAATCAAATTATATATTGATATTCTTGAAGGCCCTGAGCAAAACATCGATAAGAAATTAGGTGAGTTAGGAGAGTATCATAGCCTCGTGTCTGCACTAGAAACCAGCCAGCAGGAATTTTGCATATACCTGTCAATTAATGGCAAGATTAAATATTAGTGAACCATTTCTGTGATGGACTTCATTTGATTTTAAATATTGCTCTGGAGAATGTTAAACTGAAACCGTTTCCAGATGACTATGAAGATTAGTGCTCAAAGCATCATTTACATGATGCCCTTCCCTTATAGTGATCATTTCATTCACTCTATTTCCTAAAGGCTGCCCTTGGAGCTGGCTTCTCTGACAAGACTCCTGCTCACACTGTCACCATGGCTTGTATCTCTGCCAACCAAGCCATGACCACAGGTATGTTTAAATGGAAACAGACAGTACATGTTAATTATTCTCCTTTGTCTTTTACTTGATTATAAAAATGTACTTTTTTTTTTTTTTTTTTTTTTAACACAGAACCTCACTCTGTCACTCAGGCTGGAGTGCAGTGGTACCATCATAGCTCACTGCAGGCTCAAACTCTTGAGCTCAAGAGATCATCCTGCCTTAGGATCCCAAGTAGCTGGGTCTACAGGTGCTCCACCACACCCAGCTAATTTTTAAATTTTTTGTGGAGACGGGATCTCGCCATGTTGCCCAGGCTGGTCTTAAACCTCTGGCCTCAAGTGATCCTTCTACCTCAGCCTCCAAAGTGCTGGGATTACAGGCGTGAGCCACCATGCTCATCCCAAAAAGTACTCTTAACAGAAGTAAAAGATTAGCACAGATCTCTATACTTGTGTTTTTTAAAAAGTAAGGTCAGGTTTAAAATTTGGGGGTTCTAACCGTAGTTAACCTCTTTTTTTGCTCTCCATACCTGAGGAACATTACCATTGGCGTGGTTCCTCTGTGAATAATGTGGCTGGCTGCAGCAGGGATTATCAACTGGAGGAGTGTATCTCTAGGAAGGTACTTCAGCATCTGAGGCATGAGTAAATAGTTTACAACCTGCCAGGCTTTCAACCTAGGTGCTTCAGATATGATATTTTCCCACAAAGATATGGTCTTCCTTCCTTCACCACTACCATACTTGTAAATCATTGCTTTAGATGGCACAGCTCTTTCCTTCACTTTCTCCTTACATCCTTGTCATTTTTATAAATCACTGAAAACCCCACTAACAAACTTTAGCAAAACTGTGGGATATTTTGTAGCATCAGCTCTTAGTGTGAGGAGGCAAGGAAGCCTGAAAGATTTAGTAATCATGTGCTCATCTAGTAACATCAAGGCCCAGGTGGGCACCCCACCTCATGTGTGGCGGGGAATGATGCCCGTGACTGGGGGCGTTCGCCACTCTAGGCAGCATGTGACCAACTCCTGGTTAGAGAAACAGAATACTGGCCAGTGGCCATAAGGAGAGAGGGGGCCTGCCTTACGTTTCAACAGCTGTAATTTCTCTGCTTTGCAGCAGAAGTTAACATTCTCTTTATAGGATAAAAAATCTTTATTAAAACTAAAGCTGGGAGCATATAAATATGCAAGATGTTCTGGTTTGGAATATGATTTGTTCAAGAGTTGGTCCAATGGATATTCCTAGAAGTTGACGTCCATATGGCAGGAATGAAACTTGTTTTTCTCTAACGTGTTGAATGTGTTTTTAGTCATTTAAGAAAATTACCTTAATTCTTCTGAAAAGTTGAAAACTTTAATTACAGATGTTGTACAAAGCTGATAACTGTCATTCAGCTTTTTAATCAAGAAGCTTAAATTGGAATGGTATGTTATTTTCTGTAAAAGATATTCATGAAGTATAACCTGTGCCCTGTAGGTGTTGGCTTGATTGCTTCTGGCCAGTGTGATGTGATCGTGGCAGGTGGTGTTGAGTTGATGTCCGATGTCCCTATTCGTCACTCAAGGAAAATGAGAAAACTGATGCTTGATCTCAATAAGGCCAAATCTATGGGCCAGCGACTGTCTTTAATCTCTAAATTCCGATTTAATTTCCTAGCACCTGAGGTAAGGCTTGTGTTTGCAGGGCATCCCACTGCAGAGATTTAGAATTAGGTATGGCAGTGTGGACTCTGCTATGCTGTAATAGGTGTAGATTCTGTAGTTACAGGAAAGGGTTAATTACTTGCTCAAGATGGAAAAAAAAGATAGTGGTTAGAAAACTTTAATTTGTGAGCCCTCTTTAGAGATCCTCTTTAGAGATCCTCTGCTTGTCTTGGACTTGATTGATTAATGGTAGACAAATAGATTTTAACTTTTCCAAATAACACAGAACAATCCTAGGTGTTAGCATAACACCGGTTAACAGTGTACCTGCTCCTTGGATATCTCCTTTCCCAGCTCCCTGCGGTTTCTGAGTTCTCCACCAGTGAGACCATGGGCCACTCTGCAGACCGACTGGCCGCTGCCTTTGCTGTTTCTCGGCTGGAACAGGATGAATATGCACTGCGCTCTCACAGTCTAGCCAAGAAGGCACAGGATGAAGGACTCCTTTCTGATGTGGTACCCTTCAAAGTACCAGGTGAAATGAAATGCTTCATGACACTTATTAGGGAGTTCTGAATTGCTCCTAAAACTCAAAAACATCCCGAGTGATTTTTCCATAAGTATGTTGGTTCTGTTTCCAAAGTATTCAGCCTTTATTCTTAAATATGGATGCAAATTTTGATTTATGTTGTAACAATAGGTTAACATTTTTTAATGTTTCTATAAGAGTGTCCTTTTAAGATCTGAGCACTAATCTCAGCACTTTGGGAGGCTGAGGCAGGAGGATCGCTTGAGGCCAGGAGTTCAAGACCAGCCTGGTCAACAGCGTGAGACTTCATCTCTAATTAAAAAAAAAAAAAAGAAAAACAGAGTCTCCTTTTAGATCTTGCTGATATATTTTAGTTCTTACATACATGCCTGTTTTTAAAATTCCTGAATCGTCTGACTTCTGTATAGAATAGCCAACTGTGAATGAATGTCTTAAGAAAATAGGGTGTCCTATTTTTAGTAAAGCATTTAGATGATTTCCCAATTGTCTTTTAAGACTTTAGTTTAAAATTTGATAATATGATAATTATAAAACACTTTCCTTCTAGTGAATAGGTAAGGTTTATATTTCATTTGTTTTTGTAATTTTTAAAGCATATTTCTGTGGAGAAGATATATAAGGCTTGTGGTTCCATAGAGTTAAAAAAATTCATTTTTTTAATAGGAAAAGATACAGTTACCAAAGATAATGGCATCCGTCCTTCCTCACTGGAGCAGATGGCCAAACTAAAACCTGCATTCATCAAGCCCTACGGCACAGTGACAGCTGCAAATTCTTCTTTCTTGGTAACTGTCAATGTTATTTGTATTTAGTAGTGACTTTTCTATTTCTGTACTCTCTGTAGAAAAGCCTAATATAACTTTTTGTGTGTGTTATGAATAGAGGGTTAAAAATATAGTTATTCATTTTAATGTGAAAGTGGAGTCATTAAAAAAAAAATAGAATCACGGTTTTAAGGCCCGAGAAGTCACCTAATCCAGCCACCATTCTGCCACAAAAGCTCTTCCTTTCAGGCACTTAACCAGTCAAAAACTTCTATTGCTTATGGTGGGCCCTGGAAATGAAAAGAATAGACAATTGCAATATAGTGAGATGCTGTGATGGCTGTAAGGCTTAGGTCGAACCCCTGACCCAGATGGGGGGACAGTCAGAGAGTCTTCTTGGAAGAGGTAACACTTGAGCAGCAAATCTTGAAGGAAGAGTAAAAGCCAACTCAGGAAGGATTTTAAAAGGCATTTCAGGCCGGGTGCGGTGGCTCACGCCTGTAATCCCAGCACTTTGGGAGGTTGAGGCAGGCAGATCACCTGAGGTCAGGAGTTCGAGACCAGCCTGAGCAACATGGAGAAACCCCGTCTCTACTAAAAATACAAAATTAGCCAGATGTGGTGGCACATGCCTGTTAATCCCGGCTACTCGGGAGGCTGAGGCAAGAGAATTGCTTGAACCCTGGAGGCGTGGAGGTTGCGGTGAGCCAAGATCGCACCATTGCACTCCAGCCTGCACAAGAGCGAAACTCCCATCTCAAAAAAAAAAAAAAAAAAAAAAAAAAAAGGCATTTTGGACAAAGGGAATAGCAAATGCAAAATCAAGGAAGTATGAGAGCAAGGGGTTCTTTGGGGAAAAGTTAGGTTGGAGCATAAGGTATGAACTGGGAAGTCGCAGAAGACAAGGAAAAGCAGGCAGAAAGAGTAACAGGATACCTCTTCCAGCCCTGATTGTTAGAAAACTGCTTTACACTGACCCCAATATTATTTTCCTGTAAGCATCATGGAACAAATCTACCACTGTTTGTTTTGTGTTTTTTTTTTAACTTATCAACATGTAGCTTCATATCCTTCCATGCTTTTCTGACTCCTCAATTAAACATCTTTATTGATTCTGCTGCTGCTTGTAAGATGTGATTTCTCTTCTCTTACCACCTTGGGTATAGTCTTCTGGATATAGGCCATCTGGTCAGAGTTTCTCTTACAATGTAACTCTCCTACCTGGCCATAAAGTCTTGAAAACATACGCAGATGTTTGACATATTTGCCCATGGTAAATGACTAATTAATGCCTGCTCTTGATAGGCTAGGGGAGTGGAATCTGGAGTAGTTCCAACAGGATGGAACACCACCCTGTTAAGCCCAGGTGGTGAAGAGCTGGTTAGGTTGGTCATTTGCAAAACCGAATTGGATGATAGAGCCATGTGGCATGGACTACACTTGCCAGATCTGAATCCTTTTGATTATTTCCAGGGTATGCTAAAGGTCCAGGTTTATTTAGTGAGAATCAGAGACACAAATCATCAGAGGTGACACATCACAATACATGGATTTTGGGGACTGCATTAGTGCCCCACATTCATTGCAATTTTGCACAATGGCACATTGAACCTGTTATTAATGTAATGTCTGTAAACCATTTATTCCATATGGTCACCTATGTCTCCAGACTTTATGGACACCCTATTGGTGGCTACACAGTCTCTTCAGGGTTGCCGAGTTATAAAAATACGACAGAATGTGGTAGAACTTATTTTGATTTTACAAATTATGAAGAATAGTTTCCTTTTCTTTGGAATTCTGAAGTTTTTGGGGGAGCTTTTCTTCTTTGAAGTATGGTAAAGGACGTTTTTTCAGTAGTACTTCTTTGTCCTCCAGCTTCTCGGTTGTCATTTGGGAAGAAATGTATGGGGTGTATCCAAAGAGGGAAGATTGTGGTTCTAATGTCCTCAGCTGGTTCTCCCATTGGTTTGCTCGTTACAGAATATATAAGTAGAATAAAATGACCTGTAAGCCACGGGCAGAAAGCAGCTGAGAGCCCAGAAAATGTAAAAATAAATAAATAAGAGATATGTTTATTTTGGTTCATATTTTGTGCCACAAGCTAAAAACTTTGGCTTAAATAAGTGTTTAGTGTTTATTATGAGCAGTTCTTTCTTTTTTTTTTTTTTTTTTTTTGAGACAGAGTCTGGCTTTGTCACCCAGGCTGGAATGCAGTGGCACGATCTCAGCTCACTGCAACCTCCGCCTCCCAGGTTCAAGCAATTCTCCTGCCTCAGCCTCAGCCTCCCAAGTAGCTGGGACTACAGGTGTGTGCCACCACACCTGGCTAAGTTTTTCTATTTTTAGTAGAGATGGGGTTTCACCGCGTTAGCCAGGATGGTCTCAATCACCTGCCTCATGATCTGCCCGCCTCAGCCTCCCAAAGTGCTGGGATTACAGGCATACAGGCATGAGCCACCACGCTTGGCCATGAGCATTTATTTCTAAAGTTACCTCTTCTGTTGATTCATTTTGATTATTATGATACTTTTGAACAGCCTTCTCTACCCTCATCCTCCAAAAATGAGTCAGCGTGTGTATGTTTGAATTATGATTTAATGATGGATACAGTGAAGTAAGTGTTGTTATATAGAATCACTGTATAAGTCTAATGAGTTAATAGATTCAGGTACAGATATATAAGATGGCTGGAGAAAGACCTCCAGACAGGCTGAAGAATTTTAACATTGTGCTGGTTAACATTTCAGACTGATGGTGCATCTGCAATGTTAATCATGGCGGAGGAAAAGGCTCTGGCCATGGGTTATAAGCCGAAGGCATATTTGAGGTAAAGTAAATGTTCAAACAAATCATCTCTGATTTCTTTATTTTATTACCAAAGCTCACCTCTCTATTTTTTTACCTAGGGATTTTATGTATGTGTCTCAGGATCCAAAAGATCAACTATTACTTGGGTAGGTAGCAGTTTGTATCCTTGGACTATAATCACAAGTATTTGATTGCCTATGTTTTATTATACTGGTTAATAAATGATTAACACTGGTTTATTATTTATTTGTTTATTACACTGGTTTGAGAGTATATTAAGCCCTGAGTTCATAATTGGTTTATGTGGTGGTTTTTTTAAAAAAAATAATAGTAATCTGGCCGGGCACGGTGGCTCACGCCTGTAATCCCAGCACTTTGGGAGGCCGAGGTGGGCAGACCACGAGGTCAGGAGATTGAGACCATCCTGGCTAACACGGTGAAGCCCTATCTCTACTAAAAATACAAAAAATTAGCCAGGCGTGGTGGCGGGCGCCTGTAGTCCCAGCTACTCGGGAGGTTTTGGCAAGAGAATGGCATGAACCCGAGAGGCAGAGCTTGCAGTGAGCCAAGATCACGCCACTGCACTCCAGCCTGGGCGACAGAGCGAGACTCCATCTCAAAAAAATAAATAAATAAATAAAATAGTAGTAATCCTTTCCATTGGTATATCATGTTACAGTTTTGGATTATTTTCCATTTTTTTCCTATAAGTTTTACATATATATATGGACACACACAACTTATATTCTTTTTCATTAAGATAGCATATGCATTTTTTCATATGGCTACACACCCTGCTACACAATCTTCCTAATATAGCCTTTTATAAAAGCCTCCCCATGTTTAGACTCTGTTCCGTTCCCTCACAAGGCTGTAGCCTCTAGCCTCCACTGTGACGTTCACATCAGTCAAGCCCTTTCCCTTGCCTTGCTCTTTGAACTCTGTTCTTCCAGTTCTTCATGTTATTAGCTTGTCCTTATCCCTCACTGTTTATTTATTATCAATTTCTCTGACTCTGCAACATAAGAGTAGAGGGCATGTCTGTACAGTTTCACTATTTTATCTTTAACATTTCATTAATCAGTACAGAAAAATCAAAGAATGAGTGAAAAGACATTAGAGTACCTATGTAAAACTCAGTTTGGGGAATATGAAGGAGCTCTTAGTTTAAAAATTAAAGTTTTAAGATATTACTTATTTTTTCTTTGCAGACCAACATATGCTACTCCAAAAGTTCTAGAAAAGGCAGGATTGACCATGAATGATATTGATGCTTTTGAATTTCATGAAGCTTTCTCGGTAAGTAATTTGAAAGACACATATGAAGGGACTATAGTCATAAAAAATGTCATCCATATTTGTGGGAGAGAGCAAGGCATGGTTTATGATGTGAGTAGAGCAGGAGTGGACCTGCATATTTTAAGTACTGATTCACACTGCTGGGAGGGGCCCGAGGGGAGGGAAGCAAGGGCCACACATACAGTGTTGGAGAACATACCAAATTGCTTCTTTAGGAAATTGCCATTGAAAACTGATACAAAGATTTGTTCAACTTTACTTTTTTTTTTTTTTTTGGAGACAGAGTCTTGCTCTGTTGCCCCAGCTGGAGTGTAGTGGCACGATCTCGGCTCACTGCAACCTCCGCCTTCCAGGTTCAAGCAATTTTCTTGTCTCAGCCTCCCGAGTAGCTGGGACAAGCAGGCGCCTGCCACCATGCCCGACTAATTTTTTTTATATTTTTAATAGAGACAGGGTTTCACCATATTGGTCAGGCTGGTCTTGAACTCCTGACCTCAGATGATCCACCCGCCTTGGCCTCCCAAAGTGCTGGGATTACAGATGTGAGCCACTGTGCCTGGCCGATTTGTTCAACTTTAAACCATACCTAAAGTTGTTAAACTTTCACAAACCATTCCTATAAGAAAGCGTAGAGGAACATGAATAACGAGGTTCTTATTCGATTATTTTCTCTTCCAGGGTCAGATTTTGGCAAATTTTAAAGCCATGGATTCTGATTGGTTTGCAGAAAACTACATGGGTAGAAAAACCAAGGTGAGTTTCTAATTTTAAAAAATGCGTGAATTTTCAAAGCACGTTAATAATTGGATCTTAGTTACCTGTTCTTAAGAATATGAAGGGAAAGCTTCTCTTTCTTTTGAAGAATTTTGTCTTTCATTAAAGATATTTATTTCTTAGTGTAAAAGTAGAAATTCTTGTATTTCATTAAATATATTTATTTCTTAGTTTAAAAATAGAAATTATTTAGCAAAAATAAAATTCTGTGTTTTTTGTTCCTTGCATTCTGACATTAGATGAAAAATAAATGGACTCCTGACTTTTAATATTGACCTAGACTTACTTTCTTTTGCAGTAAAATTATTTGTAATATGTCTGACGTTACGTATTTTCCTCTATCTCTCTTACTTCGTAGTACTAAGAGCCTAGCTTGATTCTGATCTTAAGTAAACTTATCTTTACATTTGTGTCTTTGGGGGAGCCAGGTTGGATTGCCTCCTTTGGAGAAGTTTAATAACTGGGGTGGATCTCTGTCCCTGGGACACCCATTTGGAGCCACTGGCTGCAGGTTGGTCATGGCTGCTGCCAACAGATTACGGAAAGAAGGAGGCCAGTATGGCTTAGTGGCTGCGTGTGCAGCTGGAGGGCAGGTACGTTACAGTGGTGTCATAGGACCCTCCAGAGAGTCATTTTCTTGGAATGACTAGAATGTATGATTTAGTTTGAAACCTTCTTAAAGCAATATTTTTGATGACCTGGGGGTGGGGAGTGGGGAGGGATAACAGCTGTAATTCTGATAAAACTTTTTGTTTTTTGGGTTTTTTTTTTTTTTTTTTGAGACAGTCTTGCTCTGTCACCCAGGTTGGAATGCAGTGGTAATATCTTAGCTCACTGCAACCTCCACTTCCCGGATTCAGGTGATTCTCGTGCCTCAGCCTCCCGAGCAGTTGAGATTACAGGTGTGCACCACCATGTCCAGTTAATTTTTGTATTTTTAGTAGAGACAGAGTTTCGCCATGTTGGCCAGGCTAGTCTCGAATTGCCGACTTCAAGTGATCCACCCTCCTTGGCCTCCCAAAGTGCTGTGATTACAGGCATGAGCCACCATGCCCTGCCATAATTCTGATAATTCTTTGGAAGGAAACAGCTATTTAAACCCAAGCTATTTTTCCCCAATATAATGTTTATTTTTTACTTATAAATATATGCTGATTATGAAAATTGTGGAATATATGAAAAGTATATAGAAAAAGTTAGAATCATCTATAATCTCCCCATCAGACATTAACATTATTAACATCTTGATATATTTTCTTCTTTAATAATTAACTTTTATTTATCTAGTCACCATAAGACTTTATAAAATCTCTCCAAGAGAGAAACTATCTTTCTAGAGAACTGAATTATACCTTAACTGGGGAGTTAATTTACTTCTGGATAACTTACTGCTGTTCAGCTGGGGAAATATATTGTTGACAGATTTTTTCCTTTCTACTTCACTTGCATTAGAGACCCAACTTCCTGACTGCTGTAGCATCTCACTCTAGGAATAAAATCCAAAAGGAAGATTGTAGTTTGTTTTTTGTTTGTTTGTTTTTTGAGACAGAGTCTCACTCTGTCCCCCAGGCTGGAGTGCAGTGGTGCCACCTCGGCTCACTGCAACCTCTGCCTCGCGAGTTCAAGCGATTCTCCTGTCTCAGCCTCCTGAGTAGCTGGGATTACAGGTGCTCACCACCAAGCCCGGGCAATTTTTTTTGTATTTTTAGTAGAGACGGGGTTTCACCGTATTGGCCAGGCCGGTCTCGAACTCCTGACCTCAGGTGATCCGCCTACCTCAGCCTCCCAAAGTGCTGGGATTACAGGCATGAGCCACTGTGCCTGGCCTGTTTTTGTTTTTTTTTTTTTTTTTTAATCCCGATGTGAACAGATTTTCTCTTCCTCTAGATTACAGAAACTTCCTGTTCCTGATCAAAATGAATAAATATTTAAAAGCATAAACTGGCCGGGTGCAGTGGCTCACGCCTGTAATCCCAACACTTTGGGAGGTTGAGGCGGGTAGGTCACTTGAGGTCAGGAGTTCGAGACCAGCCTGGCCAACATGGTGAAACCTTGTCTCTACTAAAATTATAAAAACTAGCCTAGTGTGGTGGTGTGCGCCTGTAATTCCAGCTACTCAGGAGGCTGAGGCAGGGGAATCGCTTGAACCCGGGAGGTGGAGGTTGCAGTGAGCCGAGATGGCGCCATTGCACTCCAGCCTGGTGACAGAGAGAGACTCTGTCTCAAAAATAAAGTAAATGAAATAAATCTTACGTTTAAAAGCCCTTTTTCATGGATTTTCCTCAGAGACTTTGCAGAAACCAAGGGGTCAGTTATTTATCAGTTGGAACATTTTGGACTTTATGATCACAAATGCTTTTTAATCTGTGTAACTTCATCTACAGAAAACCATGGTCCATTAAGACTAGAGCGATCCCTCTATCTCTTCATGCCAGGCTTCTACCAGGGAGATAACCTGTACACATTACTCACGAGCATAGTGCGTAATCCACATAGGGTAATGTCTGCAGATTTGAGTATGTGTTCCCTAATTCTTTATCTAGCATGTAGAGTATAAATAACACAATACTGGATGCTTTTATGGATGAACAAGGAATAATACCTAGCACCTTTCTTCTAGAAGTTTATAGTATGAAGAGAGAAGATAAGATGCATCTGAGAAACTAGATTAAACTTGACATTGTTTGATCAAGAGCCACGTGAGCAATACCAACATGGTTGGAGACAGAGGAGAAATCCATCGTGGTGAATCTAGAGCAGGGTTTCTCAACTTTGGCACTAACATTTTGGGCCAAACAATTCTTTGTTTTGGGGGGCTGTGTGTTGTAGGGTGTTTAGCATGGCCTCTACCCATCGGATAGCAGTAGCAACAAGCTCCTCCCCACCTCTGCCCCAGGTACACACGGTTGGTATAACCAAAAGTATCTCCAGGTGTTGCCAAATCTGATCTAGAGCAAGAAAAAACATGGAACATGAAAACAGTGTGTTTAAAATAAAGCCAGAGAGGGCTGGGTGCGGTAGCTTATGCCTGTGATCGCAGCATTTTGGGAGGCTAAGGCAGCTGGGTGGCTTGAACGCAGGAATTCGAGACTAGCCTGGGCAACATGGCAAAACCTCGTCTCTACCAAAAATACAAAAATTAGCCAGGTATGATGGTACGCACCTGTGGTCCCAGTTACTCAGGAGGGAGGTGAGAGGATTGCTTGAGCCCGGGATGTTGAGGCTGTAGTGCGCTGTATTCACGCCACTGCACTTTAGCCTAGGTGACAGAGTTGCCTTGTCTCAAAAAGCAAATAAAGAAATTAAAATAAATAAAAAATAAAATAAGCAAGCCAGAGAGGAGTAGTCTACCTTATTATGAATTCTTTCAGGACAACCCCCAAGTCAGTCAAACCTTCCTATCCCTGCTCTTTTTTTGTCTGCTTGTGCCTTTTCAATGTACTTAACATGCCAGGTGTGGTAGCTCATGCCTGTAATCCTAGCACTTTGGGAGGCTGAGGTGGGCAGATTGCTTGAGCTCAGGAGTTCGAGACCATCCTGGACAACATGGCAAAACCCCATCTCTACTAAAAATACAAAAACTAGCTGGGCGTGGTGGTGGGTGCCTGTAGTCCCAGCTACTCGGGAGGCTGAGGTGGAAGTATCACCTGAGCCCGGGAGGTTGAGGCTGCAGTGAGCCGTGTTCAGGCCACTGCACTCCAGCCTGGGTGACAGAGGGAGGCCCTGTTTCAAAAAAAACAGAAAAACCAAGTACTTAACAGTTTGTTTTGAACTCCAGTGTATACTTGATTGAGGACAAAGACCATGTGGCAAATCTTTAAACCTGCAGTGTTCAACTTGGCACTTTGTAAATAATAGTTTCTTTTATTTACTTTTTTGTTTTTTAGAGGGTGTCTAAAAATTCTATGCTAGGATTTAGACTCATCTAAACTAAGGACATAGCTAGTACATAGCACTGTGCATAGTGCTGGATAAAAGATATTCTACTTCTGGCCGGGCACAGTGGCTCATGCCTGTAATCCAGCACTTTGGGAGGCCGAGGCAGGCAGATCACGAGGTCAGGATATCGAGACCATCCTGGCTAACACGGTGAAACCCCATCTCTACTAAAAATACAAAAAATTAGCCGGACGTGGTGGCGGGCGCCTGTAGTCCCAGCTACTCGGGAGGCTGAGGCAGGAGAATGGCGTGAACCCGGGAGGCGGAGCTTGCAGTGAGCTGAGATCGCGTCACTGTACTCCAGCCTGGGCAACGGCGAGGCACGGTCTCCAAAATAATAAATAAAAAAAATAAAAAAAGAAAGATATTCTACTTCTTCCCTTTGTGGTCCCTCAGATCATTATCTTAACCTGTGTAGAATAGTGAAGAAGGGACAAGCCCAGCCTTTGGAATCATCTAGACCTGGTTTCAAATCCTGGCCCTGTTACCTTAATAGCTTTGTGATTTGGGTGAGTCACTTAACCTTTCAGAGCCTCAGTTTTCCCCTCTAGAAACTTACTTTTATTGGTATTTGCTGTATCATGTTTATGTTTATACAGTTAAAAAAGCCCCTGGATTTCTCATTTTAACAGCATCCATTTGTAGAGCATCACTAGGAATTAGATTCTGTACTAGACAGAGCCTGATGCATATATGTATACATGTATATATGAATGTATATAAATATATATGTGTGTGTATATATATACACACATATACAAATATACTGTATGTTATGTGATGCCCACAAAAACTCTATGAAGTAGACACTATGAGCCCCATTTTGTAGAGGAAATTCCAGTTTAGACTGACTACAAACTTTCCCAAGATCACAGTGATTGATTGGCAGAGCCAGGATCCCACTCCAAAGCCTGTACTTTTCTCCTTGTTCTCTGCTGTCCCTGTACTAGGTGGATTCATCACCATTCATTGCTCTAATTGGACTTTGTTTTCTTTACAGGGCCATGCTATGATAGTGGAAGCTTATCCAAAATAATAGATCCAGAAGAAGTGACCTGAAGTTTCTGTGCAACACTCACACTAGGCAATGCCATTTCAATGCATTACTAAATGACATTTGTAGTTCCTAGCTCCTCTTAGGAAAACAGTTCTTGTGGCCTTCTATTAAATAGTTTGCACTTAAGCCTTGCCAGTGTTCTGAGCTTTTCAATAATCAGTTTACTGCTCTTTCAGGGATTTCTAAGCCACCAGAATCTCACATGAGATGTGTGGGTGGTTGTTTTTGGTCTCTGTTGTCACTAAAGACTAAATGAGGGTTTGCAGTTGGGAAAGAGGTCAACTGAGATTTGGAAATCATCTTTGTAATATTTGCAAATTATACTTGTTCTTATCTGTGTCCTAAAGATGTGTTCTCTATAAAATACAAACCAACGTGCCTAATTAATTATGGAAAAATAATTCAGAATCTAAACACCACTGAAAACTTATAAAAAATGTTTAGATACATAAATATGGTGGTCAGCGTTAATAAAGTGGAGAAATATTGGAGAACTGTTTACCTCATTTTTTATTCATCAGGGGAGGGTGGTTCTCTTGGCTTAGGACCAGATTTTTGCCTTTAATTACTCATTTATAACTTCTAACTATTGTGGTCAATGCTGAGGCTGCTGGGAAGATAAAGACAATCCTGTTTATTTATTTATTATTATTATTTTTTTTTTGAGATGGAGTCTCACTCTGTTGCCCAGGCTGGAGTGCAGTGGCACAATCTCGGCTCACTGCAACCTCTGCCTCCCCGGTTCAAGCGATTCTTCTACTTCAGCCTGCCGAGTAGCTGGGATTACAGGCACCCACCACCACACTTGGTTAATTTTTGTAGTTTTAGTAGAGATAGTGTTTTGCCATGTTGGCCAGGCTGGTCTCAAACTCCTGACTTCAGGTGATCCACCTGCCTCGGCCTCCCAAAGTGCTGGGATTACAGGTGTGAGCCACTGCGCCCAGCCTGACAGTCCTGTTTTAGAATAACACATTTTGTTTTCCCCACTGCTGAACTGCAGAATGTTTATTTCACTGTTTGGAGATGCTTCTGTTAGCTAGGATTTAAATAAAGTGTAAAGAAGTTTTTTATTTTGATCAACTACTCTAAATCCTCTCAGATTTTTGAAAACTACCCTGTACTAAAATAACATGGATGCGAGTGTTTAAAGAAACACTAGCTTCTTTTTATGGACATTTGTGTGACTGTTGCTTAGGTCTATGAAAGTTACTGGGAATCAAAATTACCCTGTAGTTCAGGGACAGATTGGGCAGGAGACCTAGTGCTAACCTCTTAAAAGGATATTTGAGAGTCCCAGCATCGTTTCCCCATGGTTTCCTTGGTAATTATAATGTGAGTTTTTAATACGAAAACCATTATATTTACATATATATCACAAAAATCAGGTATAGATAAGTTAAATATAAAATGTAAAAACCTTAAAATTTAGAAAAAAAATAACCCTGTGACCTTAGGTTGAAGGAAGAGAGGGATTTCTTGAAGAAAACATTGAAAATACTAATCATGAAAGATCTATAAATTTGCCTGTGTTGAAATAAGAACTTTTATTCTTCATGTGATGATACAGAGTGGTGGAGAAACAAACTAAAAGTGGAGCAAATATAGTAGATACAGCTTTAAAAGGATCCAGGATATATAAATAATTCCTACAAATCAATAAGAGTAAAGACCACTCGGCTGGGCACGGCGGCTCACGCCTGTAATCCCAGCACTTTGGGAGGCCGAGGCAGGCAGATCATGAGGTCAGGAGTTCAAGACCAGCCTGACCAACATGGTGAAACCCCGTCTCTACTAAAAATACAAAAATTAGCCAGGCATGGTGGTGGGCGCCTGTAATCCCAGCTACTCAGGAGCCTGAGGCAGGAGAATCACTTGAACCCGGGAGGCGGAGGTTACAGTGAGCTGAGATCACGCCACTGCACTCTAGCTCTGTGCGACAGAGTGAGACTCTGTCTCAAAAAAAAAAAAAGGCAAAAGATCTTAACACAATTTTTAGAAAATGATATGCAAATGGTAAATAAGATGCTTAATAGTAATCAGGAAAAACAAATTAAGATCATAATGAAATACACCTGCCTGACTGGCAAAAGTTAACAAGACTGAGAATACCAGTGTTGGTCTTGGATGTGGACAAATTAGAACTTTATATGCTGCTGGTGAGAATGCAGATTGGCAAAACCACTTTGAAAAACAGTCTGGCAACTGGGCCGGGCGCGGTGGCTCACACCTGTAATCCCAGCACTCTGGGAGCCCACGGCGGGTGGATCACGAGGTCAGGAGATTGAGACCATCCTGGCTAACACGGTGAAACCCTGTCTACTTAAAAAAAAAAAATTAGCCGGGCGTGGTGGCGGGCGCCTGTAGTCCCAGCTACTCGGAAGGCTGAGGCAGGAGAATGGTGTGAACCCAGGAGGCCGAGATCGCGCCACTGCACTCCGGCCTGGGCAACAGAGCGATATTCCGTCTCAAAAAAAGAAAAACAGTCTGGCATTATCTTGTACATCTGAATATAACACAAGGTCTGTGACCCAGCTTTTCTGCTCTTAGGAATATTCCCTAAGAAAACTTGCACATGAGTCCAGGAAATATGTACAAACCTGTTCACAGCAGCATTGCTCTTAATAGCAAAATATTCCTGTCATGATCACTGACAGGAAAGTTTCAAAAACAAGCAAAACTAAGTATCTAAGATGCCTACAGACGAGGTAAAAATAGTTTCTAAAACAGCTAAGGGAAGGGAAAAGAGACACATCTTCCTTACTGAAGAATTACAAATAATAACGCGTAGATACTCCTGACTTCAGGAGGTGGAGCATCCCCCGCCCCCGCTTTGAGTGTGGGCTGGACTTAGTGACTCAACTCCAGTAAATACTGTATGGAAAGGGAAAAAGGCAGCCTTACAGTGGAGAAACGGCAAACACCAGCTTAACCAGGTGATCAAGGTTAACATCATCAGTGCTGCCATGTGGATGCACATGCCTCCTAAGATGTAATCAAGGTACACTTCACCTCTGTGGTATTCTTTCCAAATACCCATAATCCAGTGGAATCATGAGAAAACAGGCAAACCCAAACTGAGGGACAGTCTATGAAATGCTTGACCAATACTCAAAACTTGAAACTATCAAAGTCATAAAAAGGAAATACTGAGAATTTGTCTAGATCAGTAGAGGTTAAGGAGACATGACAACTAAATGTGATGTAATATCCTGGACTGGATTCTGAAACAGAAAAAGGACATTCATGGAAAAACTGGTGAAATCTGAATAAAGTCTGGAGTTAATAGTTTTTTTTTTAAGCTTAGAAATAAATCCTCACATACATAGTCAAATGCTTTTTTTGTTTGTTTTGGGGTGGGGTGGGGGTTGGGACAGAGTCTTACTCTGTCACCCAAGGCTGGAGTGCAGTGGAGCGATCTCAGCTCACTGCAACCTCTGCCTCCCAGGTTCGAGCGATTCTCCTGCCTCAGCCTCCCAAGTAGCTGGGACTACAGGCATGCACCACCAAGCCCGGCTAAATTTTTTTGTATTTTTAGTAGAGACGGGGTTTCACCATGTTGGCCAGGCCATCATGGTCTTGAACTCCTGGCCTCAAGTGATCCACCCGTCTCTGCCTCCCAAAGTGCTGGGATTACAGGTGTGAGCCACTGCACTTGGCCATCAAATGCTTTTTGACAACATTGCCAAAAACAGTGCCAAGACCATTCATGGGGGAAAGGACAGTCTTTTCAGCAAATGGTGTTGGAGAAACTGGACATCCACATGCAAAATAATGAAGTTGGACCCTTACCTTACACCCTATACAAAAATGAACTCAAACAGATCAAAGACCTAAAGAAAGATAAAAGCTAAAATTTATAGTTTTATAAACACTTAGAAGAAAACATGGGGGAAAATACATGACATTAGATTCAGCAGTGATTTCTTGGATATGACACCAAAAGCATAGGCAACAAAGGAAAAAATAGATTAAATTGGATTTCATCAAAATTAAAAACTGCATCAAAGGGCACAATTAACAAAGTGAAAGGGTAGCCTATGGAATGGGAGAAAATATTTGCAAACCATATATCTGAATTATATTAATTAATATTCAGAAAGTGTAAAGAACTAAAATTCACACCCAGAAAACCCCCATTTAAAAATGGGCAAATAGGCTGGGCGCAGTGGCTCACGCCTGTAATCCCAGCACTTTGGGAGGCTGTGGCGGGCAGATCAGGAGGCTAGGAGATCGAGACCATCCTGGCTAACATGGTGAAACCCCGCCTCTACTAAAAATACAAAAAATTAGCCGGGCGTGGTGGCGGGCGCCTGTAGTCCCAGCTACTCAGGAGGCTGAGGCAGGAGAATGGCGTGAACCTGGGAGGCGGAGCTTGCAGTGAGCCGAGATCGCACCACTGCACTCCAGCCTGGGCGACAGAGCGAGACTCTGTCTCAAAAAAAAAAAAAAAAAAAAAAAAAAAAAGCCAATAATTTGAATATCTTCATCTCCAAACAAGATGACCAATAAGCACAGGAAAAGATGTTCAACATTACTAATCATTAGGGAGATGCAAATCAAAACCACAATGAGATACCTCTTCACATCCATTAATCCATTACTATGGTTACTATCAAAAGAACAGAAAATAGCAAGGGTTGGTGAGGATGTGGAAAAATGGGAATTCTTTTGTGCAGTTCGTAGAAATGTAAAATGGTGCAGCTGCTATAGAAAACAGCATGGCAGTTCCTAAAAAAATTAAACATAGAATTACCCTATGAGCCAGCAATTCCACTTCTGGGCATATACCCAAAAGAACTGAAAGCAGGGGGAGCGGGTGCAGTGGCTCATGCCTGTAATCCCAACATTTTGGGAGGCCGAGGTGGGCGGATCACAAGGTCAAGAGATCGAGACCATCCTGGCCAACATGGTGAAACCTTGTCTCTACTAAAAATACAAAAATTAGCTGGGCGTGGTGGTGCGTGCCTGTAATCCCAACTACTTGGGAGGCTGAGGCAGGAGAATCGCTTGAACCCGGGAGGCAGAGGTTGCAGTGAGCCAAGATCGAGTCACTGCACTCCTGCCTAGCGACAGAGCAAGACTCTGTCTCAAAAAAAAAAAAAAAAAAAAGCAGGGGCTTGGAAAAATATTTGTATATTCATGTTCATAGCAGCATTTGTCACAATAGCCAGAAGGTGGAGGCAACTCAAATGTCCATTGACGGGTGAATGGATAAACAAAATACAGATAAATTGGTATATATGTACAAGGGAATACTGTGCAGCCTTAAAAGGGAAAGCAATCCTGTAACATACTACAACACAGGTGGACCTTGAGGACCCATCACAAAAGGACAAATTCTGTAGGATTCCACTGACATGAGGGACCTAGAGTAGTCACGTTCATAGAGACAGAAAGTAGAATGATGGCTGCCAGGGGCTTGGGGCCAGGGATATGGGGAGTTGTTGTTTCATGGATACAATTTTCATTTTCAAAGATGAAGAGTGTTCTTGAGATTGGTTGAATAATAATGTGAATGTATCTTACTAAACTGTACATTTGAAAATGGCTGCACTGGTTCATGCCTGTAATCCCAACATTTTGGGAGGCTGAGACAGGAGGATGGCTTGAGCCCAGGAGTTTGAGACCAGCCTCTACAGAATTTGTCCTTTTGTGACTGGCTTATTTCACTCAGCATAAGGTCCTCAAGGTTCACTAGTGTAGCTTGTCACAGGATTACCTTCCTTTTTAAGGCTGCATAGTATTCCCTTGTGGGTATATACCACAGTTAAACCAGGCTGTCACTGTAATTAGAGCCTCTGCTCCACCAACTAATCATTTGGCAGTAGAGCCTTTTATTTGTCCTTATCTTTCGTTCAAACTTCCCCCTATTCCCCAGTTGTTTGCTTCTGATGGTATCTGATTCTAAGTAACTGCATGTTCTTTCTATACTCTATATAGTTTATTCATTTATTTATTCTATTGAGTGACTTTTATGTGTCAGGCACTATTCTGGATGCTGAGGCTACAACAACCATTAAAAAACAGACCAAAATTCCTGCCCTTTTTGCTTCCCCCTTTCCAGAGCCTCTCCTCTCCTCCTGGCCTTTCTCAGTTGTGTTTTTCTCCAGGCCTCTCAAATGCTAGTCTTTCTTGAGGAATGAAAAGCAAGCACACAAGTTTATACTTTTAAATATGCAAAATATTAAAGAGAACTTTTCCAAAATCATTTTCTCTCCTTCCTCCCTTCCTCCTTCCCTCCCTCTCTTCCTTCTTTCCTTCCTTTTTAACAGTCTTGTTCTGTAGCCCAGGCTGGAGTGCAATGGCGTGATCTTGGCTCACTGCAACCTCCACCTCCCAGGTTCAAGTGATTCTCATTTTATTTTTTCTGATTCTCATTTTATTTTTTCTGATTCTCATTTTATTTTTTTTCTAATGTAAGAAATACATGCTGTCCGGGCGAGGTGGCTCACACCTATAATCTCAGCACTTTGGGAGGCCGAGGTGGGAGGATCACTTGAGCCCAGGTTTTCGAGAACAGCCTGGGCAACATAGTGAGACCTTGTCTCTACAAAAAAGAAAAAATTAACCAGATGTGGCAGCACGTCCCTATAGTCCCAGCTACTTGGGAGGCTGAGGTGGGAGGATCACCTGAGTCCAGGAAGTCCAGGCTGCACTCCAGCCTGGGTGACAGAGAGAGCCCTGTCTCAAAAAAAAAGAAAAAACAAAAGTTTATTGCAGTTACATAGGATGAATAAGTCCGAGGGATCTGATTACACACACACACACACACACACACACACACACACACACAAGATGAGATGGACACGTTAATCAGCTTGACTTTAATATCAGTTCATGATGTATATATAATAAAAAATGCTCATTGTCAAAGAACAACTCAAATAATATAGAGTAGAAAAAAATGAAAAATCAAGTAGAGATACCCACTTACCCATTGATAATGCTTTGATATCTCTTCCTTTCGAGGCGCTCATACTTGTATGGACAAATGTGTCACCAGGCAGCTTAACTTCAAAGTGCATTTTAAAACTTTTTTTTTGTCTTGAATTTCAAGATATAACCTGGAAGCAAACTGTAGAAACCTTTTCCCTTAGCCTTAAAACAGACTCCATGACCCTCCTTTTCTCACGATATATACTCCCTTCACATTTATCTAATTGTATACTAGTATCTAATTGTGCCTTCCTAGAACTTCCAGGCACTAATCTTGAGACAGACAGACCAAGCCTGGAGACCCAGCTGCAAAATTCCAGAGATGACTTCAAGGCAGCTAGTTAACAACCTGGCCATTGTTGAGATGACGCCAGCCCACACACCAGGTGGACTGGGACCCAAGAGAGCCACCAGAACGAGACACACATATGTTGTATTTACCACAGTTCTTGAATGCCTTGCTTATCAAATTTTCCCTTTTTAAACCCCTGCCTTCCCCTCAAAAATTGAAGTGGTTGCTTTGGATGGGAATCTGGCTGCTTTCCCTTTACTAGGTTTTTTTTGACAGCGTCTCACCCTGTCACCAGGCTGGAGTGCAGTGGTGCGATCTTGGCTCACTGCAACCTTCGCCTCCCGGGTTAAAGCCATTCTCCCTGCCTCAGCCTCCCGAATAGCTGGGATTACAGGTGCCTGCCATCACGCCTGGCTAATATTTGTATTTTTTAGGAGAGACGGGGTTTTGCCATGTCGGCTAGGCTGGTCTTGAACTCCTGACCTCAGGTGATCTGCCCACCTTGGCCTCCCAAAGTGCTGGGATTACAGGCATGAGCCACCGCGCCCGGCCCCTTTACTAGTTTTGGATAATGAAATCACTTTCTTTCTACCAGACCTTGCTCTTGTTAATTGGACTCTGCAAGCAGCAAGCATCCACACCTGCATTCGGTTACATAGGGACCAAAATTGCATAGTATAATGCTGTTCTGGAATGCTGTTGTTTTACTTAGCTATATTGGAACAGAAATTAAAAGAAATTAAAGAATGTGTGAGCAAAAACTCAGTTACATGTAAAAAACCCAATTCCCCCTGAAGAAGAGAAAGAGCTGGAGTCCTTTAAAATCAACTGCCTGTTTTTCTGTGGCTAGTGAGCCTTCTCTCTCCCTTTCCCAGGCATTGTGAAGACTGTTTCTCTAGCTATGCAGCTGTAAGGTCACTAGACAGATAATCTCAAGTCATAAAACATGTTGTTCCTTAAAAAGTAAAAAGTAATATAATGCATGTCTCAGTTAAATAACTGTCTTTGCTTCTCGTTTCTATAATAGGCTTCCCCCTGCACAGATCTCCCCTCGCCCCACAAAATGCTTAAAAGGTAGCTTGACTCTTTGTTCAAGGCTCAGTCCTTTAAATGTTAATCCGACTCGGTCGGTGCATCTAAATAATTGAATAATTCCTCCTCAACCCCTCGGTCTCTCTGATTCTTTAATTATCCCACTGCATTTCTGGTGGCCCGTACAGGAACTGGAGACGACAGATTTACTGTCTCCTTTGCCTGGGGGACTTAGGGCCCTGGGGCTCGGGGAGACCCGGCATCCAAGGCGCGCCATGGGGGAGCTTCACCTGGATGGAGACTGGCTCTCCCCGCGTCCCAGTGCCCTGCCCGGCAGCGCAACAGAACCGGAGACTGGGCTGCAGGACGATACCAGCACTTCAGGAACCACGGTAAGGAAAAAAGGCCCAAGGCAGGAAAGCCCGTCTCATAGGGGCGAAGGGGAGCTTGATCACCTCCCGGGGACCAATCACTAATCCAACCCAGAGTGGCTGGGGGGCGGCAGGAATGGCCTGCCAATTTGGATGAAGCTTGTGTCCCCACTAATAAGGTGGAAAGGAGAAAATAGGCCGATAGAGCGGCAAGTGCAGCAAGGAAGAGCTTGCTGGCACTCTTGCCACCCGAACTGGGAGTGG